>NC_000006.12:14908484-15060000 GCF_000001405.40 Homo sapiens | reverse complement strand
AGGCGCCCACCATGACACTGGGCTAATTTTTGTATTTTTAGTAGAAACGGGATTTCACCATTTTGGCCAGGCTGGCCTTGAACTCCTGACCTCAGGTGATTCTCCTGCCTTGGCCCCCCAAAGTGCTGGGATTACAGGTGTGAGCCACAGTACTCGGCCATTGCTTTTATTTCAAGCGGTGTCATTTAATGGCCCATGGAGATATCAAGAAGCAGTGTAGCATAAAGGTTAGGGGCTCAGGACGGGAGTCAGACAGTCTGGATGTAGTTTCAGCTCTATTCTCTGAACTTGGATTTTTTCATCTGAAGGATGGGGTGATATAATATTAGTAGCTACCTGCTATAGAATGACTGTTTTTGTCCCCACCAATATTCGTATGTTGAAATCATAACCCCTAATGTAATGATATTAGGAGGTGGAGCTTTGGTAGCTGATTAGGCTGTAAGACAGAGCTCTTATGAGTAAGATTAATACCTGCTATGGTTTGAATATTTGTGGCCCCCCTCACCCAGATTCATAGGTTGAAACCTAATCTCCAATGCAGTAATAAGAGGGATATGACTTGGTCATAAGGGTGGAGCCCTCATGAGTGAGATTAGTGCCCTTATAAAAGAAACCCAAGGGAGCTTCTTCATTCCTTCTGCCATATGAAGACACAGCAGGAGACACAATCTATGAACCTGTAAGAAGGTCCTCGCCAGACATCGAATCTGCTGGTACCTTGATCTTGGACCTCCCAGCCTTCAGAATTGAGAGTAATACATTTCTTTTGTTTCTAAATTACCCAGTCTAAGGTCTTTTGTGATAGCAGCAGAACAGACTAAGACAGTGTCCATATAAAGGAGACCCTCCGTGGGGTGGGGACAAGGATTGAAAAACTACCTAGTGGGTACCATGCTCATTATCTGTGTAATGGGTACTCTAGAAGCTCAGCACCTACCAGAACACATTATTGCAATATACCCATGTAGTAAATGTGCACACGTATCCCCTGAATCTAAATTTTTTTTAAAAAAGGAAAGACCCTGGAGAACCCCTTGCTCCTTCTGACATTTGAGGTTTTAGCAAGAAGATGGTAATCTGTGAACCAAAAACAAGCCCTCACCAGATACTGAATCTAGTGGCACCTTATCTTGTACTTCCAGCCTTCAGAACTGCGAGAGAGAGAGAGAAAAAAAAAAAAGAATGTTATTTGAACCACCCAGTCTATAGTATTTTTGTCATAGCAGCCTGAACAGACTAAGATACCAACATGTAAGACTCTAGCAGGGGCCGGTGGAAATTGAGACAATAGATGAAAAGTATTTATATGCATACAGAAGACACTCGATACATGTTATTAGTCAATTATTAGGTGGAGGCAAGAGTTTACTGGCCTGCAGATGCTATCATCACCACAAGGGCAATATATTTGAAAGCGGTATTTAACCCTTAAGCTGCACCCAACTTAAAGCAGCTATTTTTCTTTTTAACTTCTTTCTATGTGTAAAGCCTATTTCCTTTAGGTCATATATTTGTACTGATTTGCAGGCATCTGTGAAGTTATCAGAATAATTGAATTTTAGAGCTTATCAGTCATCCAGTAGAGTGTTTTCCACCCGGGATACCCAGAGGGCTCAGCCTCCCTGAATATGGTAATAGGAGTCCTCAGGCTTTTTTCAATACGGGCATACTTCCTTTTATTGCGCTTCACCTTAGTGCATTGCTTCTTTGCAGATACCTCTCTCTCTCTCTCTCTCTTTTTTTTTTTTTTAAACAAATTGAAGGTTCCTGGCAACCGTGCTTCAAGCAAGTCTATCTGTGCTGTTTTTCCAACAGCATGTGCTTACTTCCTGTCTCTGTGTCACATTTTGGTAATTCTTGGAATATTTCAAACTGTTTCATTATTATTATGTCTGTTACGATGATCTATGGTTAAGTGATCATCTTTTAGTTTGTTTGCTTGTTTTTTGTTGTTGTTGTTTGTTTGTTTGTTTTGATGGAGTCTCACTCTGCAGCCCAAGCTGGAGTGCAATGGCACGATCTCGGCCCACTGCAACCTCCGCCTCTCCGGTTCAAGCGATTCTCCTGCCTCAGCCTCCTGAGTAGCTGGGATTACAGGCATGCACCATCACGCCTGGCTAATTTTGTATGTTTTTTAGTAGAGATAGGGTCTCATCATGTTGGTCAGGCTGGTCTCAAACTCCTGACCTTAGGTGATCCACCCGCCTCAGCCTCCCAAAGTACTGGGATTACAGGTGTGAGCCCCCGCACCCAGCCTATTTGCTTGTTTTTGAGACTGGGTCTCACTCTGTGCCCAGGCTGGAGGGCAGTGGCATGATCTTGACGCACTGCAGTCTTGACCTCCCAGGTCAAGCAATCCTCCTGCCTCAGCCTCCCATCTGGCTGAGACTACAGGTGTGTGCCACCATGTCCAGCTAATTTTTGTATTTTTTGTAGAGATGGTGGTCTCACCATGTTGCCCAGGTTGGTCTCAAATTTCTGAGCTCAAGCAATCCTCCCACCTTGGCCTCCCAAAATGCTGGGATAACAGGTATGAACCACTGTGCCAAGCCTATTTGTTTGGTTTACTTCTCTTACTATCATTCCCAAATTGGTGATCTTTGATGTCACTCTTGTAGTTGTTTTGGGACACCATGAACTACGCCCATATAAGATAGCAGACTTAATTGATAAATATGTGTGTGCTGACTGCTTCACCAACTGGCTATTCTCCCATCTCTCTCCCTCTCTTTGGGCCTTCCTGTTCTCTGAGATGCAATCATTTGAAATTAGGCCAATTAATAACCCTACAATGGCCTTAAATGTTCAAGTAAAAGGAAGAGTCATATGTCTCACTTTAATCAAAAGCTAGAAATGATTAAGCTTAGTGAGAAAGCCATGTCAAAAGCTGAGGTAGGCCCAAAGCTAGGCCTCTTGTGCCAAATAGTTAGCAAACTTGTGAATATGAAGGAAAAGTTCTTGAAATAAATTAAAAGTGCGACTCCAGTAAACACACAAGTAATGGGAAAGTGAAGCAGCCTTATTGCTGATACGGAGAAGGTTTTAGTGATCTAGGCAGAAGATCAACGTAGCCACAATACTCCCTAGATTCAAAGCCTAATCCAATGAAATGTTTTAACTCTTTTCAATTTTATAAAGACTGAGAGAGGTGAGGAAGCTGCAGAAGCAAAGTTTGAAATTAGCAGAATTTGGTTCACAAAATTTAAAGAAGCTGTCTCCATAACAGAAAAGTGCAAAGTGAAATTTAATAGCAAGTGCCGATGGGGAAGCTGCAGCAAGTTATCCAGAAAATCTAAGATAACTGATGAAGGTGGCTACACTAAACAGCAGGGGTTTTTTTTATCTTTTTTTTTTTATTTGAGACAGAGTTTCGTTCTTGTTGCCCAGGCTGGCGTGCAATAGTGCAGTCTTGGGTCACTGCAACCTCCGCCTGCTGGGTTCAAGCAACTCTCCTGTCTTAGCCTCCTGAGTAGCTGGGATTACAGGCATGTGCCACCATGCCCGGATAATTTTGTGTTTTTAGTAGAGACAGGGTTTCATCATGTTGGTCAGGCTGGTCTTTTTTTTTTTTTTTTTCTCATCATTGTTGCCCAGGCCGGAATGCAATGGCATGGTCTCGGTTCACCACAACCTCTGCCTCCGGGGTTCAAGTGATTCTCCTGCCTCAGCCTCCCGAGTAGCTGGGATTATAGGCGTGCACAAGCACGCCCGGCTAATTTTGTATTTTTAGTAGAGACGGGGTTTCTCCATGTTGGTCAGGCTGGTCTCGAACTCCGGACCTCAGGTGATCTGCCCGCCTCTGCCTCCCAAAGTGCTGGGATTACAGGCATGAGCCACCTCGCCCGGCCTGGTCAGGCTGGTCTTGAACTCTTGACCTCAGGTGATCTGCCTGCCTCGGCCTCCCAGAGTGCTGGGATTACAGGCGTGAGCCACCTCGCCCAGCCAACAGCAAGTTTTCAATGTAGGCACAATAGCCTTATATTAGATGAAGATAAAAAAAGAAAAAAAAAAAAAAGAAAATCTTGGCTATCACTAAAAATAAATAAATAAATAAATAAATAAATAAATAAATAAATAGGCCAGGGGCGGTGACCCACGCCTGTAATCCCAGCACTTTGGGAGGCCGAGGCGGGTGGATCATGAGGTCAGGAGTTCGAGACCAGCCTGGCCAAGATGGTGAAACCCCCGTCTCTACTAAAAATAAAAAAAAAAAAAATTAGCTGGGTGTGGTGGCGGGCACCTATAATCCTAGCTACTCGGGAGGCTGAGGCAGGAGAATTGCTTGAACCCGGGAGGTAGAGGTTGTAGTGAGCCGAGATCGTGCCACTGCACTCCAGCCTGGGTGACAGAATGGGACTCCATCTCAAAAAAATAAATAAGTAAAATACAAATAAATAAATAAAGTAAAATAAAGGGCCAGGCATGGTGGATCATACCTGTAATCCCAGAACTTTGGTAGGCTGAGGTGAGCAGATCACTTGAGGTCAGGAGTTCAAGACCAGCCTGGCCAACGTGGTGAAACCCAGTCTCTACTAAAAGTACAAAAATTTGCCAAGAGTGGCGGTGGGTGCCTGTAATCTCAACTACTCAAGAGGCTGAGGCAGGAGAATCACTTGAATCTGGGAGGCAGAGGTTGCAGTGAGCCGAGATCACGCCATTGCACTCCAGCCTGGGTAATAGAGCAAGACTCCGTCTCAAAAAAAAAAAAAAAAAAAAAAAAAGAAAAAAAAAGAAAAGAAAAAAGGAAAAAAGAAAGAGGAAAATCCCATTTTTTTCTCATGCTTAAAAATCAACTCCTCAGTCTCAAAAATAAATAAATAAATAAAAGGAAGAGAATGCCATCTAAGACTTTCTTAGCTAGAGAGCAGTGCCTGGCTTCAAAGCTTCAAAGGACGGGCTGACTCTCTCGTTAGAGGCTGATGCAGCTGGTGACTTTACGTTTAAAGCTGCTACTCATTTACCATTCCAAAAATCCTAGGGTCCTTAAGAATTATGCTGAAGCTACTCTGCCTGTGCTGTATAAATGAAACAACAAAGCCTGGATGACAGTACATCTGTTTATGGCATGGTTTACTGAACATTTTAAGCCCACTGTTGAGAAGTACTGCTCAGAAAAAAAATAAATAAATAAATTTTCAAAATATTACTGTTTATTGATGATGCACCTGGTCATCCAAGAGGTCTGAGGTCTGAGGGAGATGTATAAGGAGATTCATGTCGTTTTTGTGCCCCTAATACGGCATCCATTCTGCTGCCCGTGGATCAAGGAGTAATTTCAACTTTCAAGTCTTATGATTTAAAAAGATACATTTTGTAAGGCTATGGCTATAAAATCATAGATAATGATTCCTCTCAGGAAAGGATTCACCATTCTAGATGCCAATTAAGAACAATTCATGATTCATGGGAGAAGGTCAAAATATTAACATTAATAGGAGTTTGAAAGAGGTTGATTTCCAACCCTCGTGGATGACTTTGAAAGGTTCAAGATTTTAGTGGAGGAAGGAACTGCAGATGTGGTAGAAACAGCATGAGAAGGCCAGGCATGGTGGCTCACACCTGTAATCCCAGCACATTGGGAGGCTGAGGTAGGCAGATCACCTGAGGTCGGGGGTTTGAGACCAGCCTGGCCAACATGGTGAGACCACTGTCTTTACTAAAAAAAAACAAAAAATTAGCCAGGCATCGTGGTGCATGCCTTGGGAAGCTGAGGCAGGAGAATGGCTTGAACCTGGGAGGAGGAGGTTGCAGTGAGCCAAGATTGCGCCGTTGCACTCCAGCCTGGGCAACAAGAGTAAAACTCTGTCTCAAAGAAAAGAAAAGGAAAGAAACAGCAAGAGAAATAGAAGTGGAGCCTGAAGATGTGACTGAATTGCTGCCATCTCATCAAACTTGAATGGATGAGGAGTTGATTTTTAAGGATGAGAAAAGATTGGGATTTTCCTCTTTTTTTTTTTTTTTTTTTTTTTGAGACTGAGTCTCACTCTGTCACACATGCTGGAGTGCAATGGCATGATCTCGGCTCACTGCAACCTCCACCTCCCAGGTTCAAGCAATTCTCCCACCCCAGCTTCCTGAATAGCTGGGATTACAGGCACCCACCATTATACCCAGCTAATTTTTGTATTTTTGTAGAGACGGGGTTTCACCATGTTGGCCAGGCTGATCTTGAACACGTGACCTCAGGTGACCTGCCTGCCTCGGCCTCCCAAAGTGCTGGGATTACAGGCGTGAGCCGCCGTGCCTGGCCAAGAATGGGATTTTTTTTTTTTTTTAGACGGAGTCTTGCTCTTGTCGCCCAGGCTGGAGTGCAATGGTACAATCTCGCTCACTGCAACCTCTGCCTCCTGGGTTCAAGCGATTCTCTTGCCTCAGCCTCCCGAGTAGCTGGGATTACAGGCGTCCACTACCATGCCCGGCTAATTTTTGTATTTTTAGTAGAGACAGGGTTGTGCCATGTTGGCCAGGCTGGTCTCAAACTCCTAGCCTCGTGATCCACCCGCCTCAGCCTCCCAAAGTGTTGGGATTACAGGCGTGAGCCACCACGTCTGGCTAAGAATGGAATTTTCTTGAGGTGAAATCTTCTCCTGGTGAAGATGCTGTGAACATTGTTGGAATAACAACAAACATCTTACAGTACTACATAAACTTAATCGATAAAGCAGCAGCAGAATTTGAGAAGATTCACTCCAATTTTGAAAGAAGTTCTGTGGGTAAAATGCTATCAAACAGCATCTCATGGTACAGAGAAATCTTTTGTAAAATGAAGAGTAAATTGATGCTGCGAACTTCACTGATGTCTTCTTTTTAGAAATTGCCACAGCCTCCGTAACCTTCAGCAGCCACCATCCTGATCAGTTAGCAGCCATCATCAAGACAAGACCCTTCCCCAGCATAAACATTACGGCTTGCTGAAGACTTAGATCATAGTTAGCATTTTTAAGCAATCAAGTGTTTTAAAATTAAGGTATGTACATTATTTATTTATACATAATGCCATCTTACACTTAATAGACTACAGTATAGTGAAAACATAACCTGTATATACACTGAGAAACCAAAATCTTCATGTGACTTGCTTTATTGCAGTGGTCTGGAACTGAACTCACAATATATCTGAGGTATGCCTGTATTTCAGGAAGTCTAACAAAAACCACGCATCATTTGTCTGTGGGAAGAGGGTATAGTATAATTGAAATGTCAAGGTTTTTCAATAGTTTGCTTTTAATGGAATAATAGTTGCTAGGTGTGGTAACACTGGTTATCTCATGAAAAAAGGAATTAACATATACAATTTGTTTCAGATAAAAGATTTACAAAGTATAGGGAACATACGTGAAATAATAAAAGTGTCTTTGTATTGTGTTCCAACCATTTAATGTTATGTCATGCTGTTATGTGATGTTGTGGTCTCTCCAGGACCAAATAGAGGCTCCAAGAGGTTCAATAAATTGTCTATGGTCACAATTATTTAGTGATAGGGACAAAATTATCACACAGGATTTTGACTCCCAATGCAGGACTCTTCCCCAACAATATTTTCCATGAGTTCTGAGGATTCTTAGACCTTTGGTATCTATCTATCTATATCTATATCTATCTATCTATATCTATCTGTCTGTCTGTCTATCTATCTATCTATCTATCTATCTTATTTATTTATTTATTTTTGAGATGGAGTTTCACTCTTGTCACCCACGCTGGAGTGCAATGGCGTGATCTTGGCTCACTGCAACCTCTGCCTCCCAGTTTCAAGTGATTTTCCTGCCTCTGCCTCCCAAAAAGCTGGGACTACAGGTGCCTGCCACCACGTCCAGATAATTTTTGTAATTTTAGTAGAGATGGGGTTTCACGATGTTGGCCAGGCTGGTCTTGAACTCCTGAGCTCAGGTGATCCACTCTCCTCAGCCTCCCAAAGTGTTGGGATTACAGGCGTGAGCCACCATGCCCGGCAGGCCTATATTGTTCATCCATTTGTTCAACATACAGATGTGACCGGTCCAGACACTGCCACTATATTCACAGAGCTTGCAGCCCTGGTAGGAACATAGTCATGGGACTCCTTGGCCACCAAGTAGCAGAAGCCCAGCTTTAGCAAGAGTGTGGATATATGGCGAGCACCTTGGAGCTCCTTGCAACCCCAGAACCAGGGACACCTATTGTCGGAGCATACCTGATCCTTTGCCTCTGAACTTTTCCATGTGTTGGCTTCCTTCTATTCTCTCTCTTTCTCTCAATCTCCCTCTCTCTTCAAAAATCAACTTCCCTCAGCTCCGGGGTCCACATGGTGAAACATATAGCCAATGCCTCCTCCAAGGCCACCTATAAAAAGGTGAGCACTTTTTTGATGGGGGTTACACAACATGCTATTTAGAGCACTGGAAAAGGGCATTTCACATTTGTGCTGAGACCTGAATGGTGCATCAGCAGGAGGGGAGGTGGAGGGCAGGGGTAGGGAGAGGGAGGGTATTTCAGGGACAGCATTTGTGAAGGTCCAGAGACAAGACAGGAACTGCAAGTGGGCCAGTAGGATGAGAGGGGGTGTATAATGGGATGGGGCTGGGCAGGTGGCGAGGGGAGGGCTGAGGCTGGAGAGGTGAACAGGGGCAGGAACACTGGCGCCCTATGGGCCATTTTAAGTTAAGTAAGGACCAGACATAATCAGATTTGGCTAAATTTCATCTGCTGAAAAAATAGTTGATAAGAGAAACTGTGAGTGTAAGGAATGATCAAAACAAACTATGTAAAATGAGTTCTGTTTTCTTATTTGTTTACACCATGTATTTTGTATTCAATGTCCCATGGAAGAAAATATTAGGCCACATCCAGTTACAATTCAGACCTTGCTAGGTGCCAAGGGCAAGGACCCACTAGCCCATGGTGGGCAGGGATTCAGGGTGCTGGGGTGCACAGTCTAATCCAATATACCATATACTGCTTTCTCCTGAAATGTTTTTGGTTCTGATCAATCAACAGAAATATCTGACCCCATAGAAGTGAGGGAAAGCTCTCATTCTGCAGTGTGCCTACCACTCTTCCAGGATGTCAGCTGTCACCAGATTCCTGCTGCACTGTGTGAGGTCTAATTCTAGTCTTTCTAATTTGTTGGTTTGGTTCTTTTTTTTTTTTTTTTCTTTGAGACAGGGAGTTTCGCTCTGTTGCCCAGGCTGGAGTGCAGTGGCCTGATCTTGGCTCACTGCAACCTCTATCTTCTGAGTTTAAGCGATTCTCCTCCCTCAGCCTCCTGAGTAGCTGGGATTACAGGCATGCACCACCACGCCCAGCTAATTTTTGTGTTTTTAGTAGAGACAGGGTTTCACTGTGTTGGCCAGGCTGGTCTCGAACTCCTGACCTCAGGTGATCTGCCCACCTCAGCCTCCCAAAGTCCTGGGATTACAGGCTTGAGCCACCATGCCCAGCTGGTTCTTTATTTTTGGACAAAAGTTGTGTTCCTGGTGGATTTGGTTATTCCTTCTTGTCCTGATCTATTACACCATTTCATCAAATCAGTCGACAATATGTTGTTCTTTTTAAGTAACTCCAGTTGACTTGTAATACTGATAGCAGTCCTGCGGTATCGCGTTTCCTTCTGGGGTAGCAAATTGAAAAGTATATTTCAATTTTCCAATTACAAGAAATATTTTTCAAAGCCATTTATTTATTAAAATCTTAAGTGCATAGTAAAGCTATGTTTTAATGTGATTTTACAGAGCATTTTAAGACCTGTTTTGTTAAAAAAAAATTATTATTCTGGCCACTGGCCAAAGTGCCCATGTTAGTCTTGTTTTCTTTTTAGCCATTGAAGGCCACCAGGAATTAGCTGGCATTGTGGCATGCACCTGTGGTCCCAGCTACTCTGGAGGCTGAGGTGGGAGGATTGCTTGAATCCAGGAGGTCAAGACTGCAGTGAGCTATGATGGTGCCACTGCACTCCACACTCCAGGCTGGGCAACAGAGCAAGACCCTGTCTTAAAATAAATAAATAAATAAATAAATAAGGCCAGGTGTGGTGGCTCACGCCTGTAATCCCAGCACTTTGGGAGGCCAAGGTGGGCAGATCACTTGAGCTCAGGAATTCGAGACCAGCCTGGCCAACATGGTGAAACTCTGTCTGTACTAACAATACAAACATTAACTGGGCATGGTGGCAGGCACCTGTAATCGCAGCTACTTGATATTGGGATTGGGAGGCTGAGGCGGGAGAATCGCTTGAACCCAGGAGGCGGAGGTTGCAGTGAGCCAAGATTGTGCCATTGCACTCCAGCCTGGGCGACAGAGCGAGACTGTCTGAAAAACAAAATAAAACAAAGCAAAAAAGGCCACTAGGATTAAAATGCAATTTATGCCTCAGAAGAAATAATCCATCCCATCCCCTGGCATTCTCCTTCTCATCTAGATCAAATCTAGTGATCGGTCTGGTCCCTACCCCCTCGAACAGCCTAACCCCTGGTCTGTCTCCAGACTGCAGACACTCCTTCATCTCTAGCTGGCCCTAGAGTCACGGGCTTCTCTTTTTCCTAGACCCTTCACCTTGCTCCCTGAGGTAAGAAGGCCAAAGGGAAGAAAAGAACCTGCTCTGTCGTTTAGTAAGCTTGCACTGGTAGCCCAAGCCCAGGAACACATGCTTCCAGCAGCTTCTCCTTCAGAAGCTCACCCAGGTCCTCGGCAGACCAGCCCTCATCACAGTGCAGGCTTCAGAGCAACAGGCTCCTGGAGAAGTAGGCTTGTGAAAGGCAAGTGTCAGGAAAAAGGAAGCGGAGCATGGCCTGAAGTCACGGAGCATCTTTGGATGAGAGAGGAGGGTGGGGCGGGCGAGTGCAATGCGGTGCAGAGGCTTGGGCAGATCTGACTTTCTTCACATCCGACTTTCCACTTAGTTGGTGTTGTAATTGTGACTTCAAAAGGCCATTCCACCATTCTATCCATCCAGCTGCTTCAGGATGATGGGGAACATGGTAAGACCAGTGAATTCCATAAGCATGAGCCCACTGCCACTTCTTTACCCATAAAGTGAGTGCCTAGGTCAGAGGCAATGCTGTGTGGAATTCCATGATGGTGCATAAGGCATTCTGTGAGTCCGCAGATGGTAGTCTTGGCAGAAACGTTGCGAGCAGGATAGGCAAACCCACATCTTGGCCTGCATGAGCCCTCCATACACTCACACTTAGATTCTTCCCATACATCCTTTCCTCACACTGGGATCCCTACTGGGAGCTTACCTTTGGAACCCTACGCGGTTGTACACCACATGGATGAGAGGTGACCTCTGGGGCTGGCGCACCCTGTCACTCTGGGCACACATTATTCTACAAGCAATGGATGAGGTTTCAGCATCCCTTTCTCTCCAGACCCGTCCCCACTCTACTGCAGCTTCTTTACATCATGTTTTACACAATAATCCCTTGAGGGTTCAACACTGATTTTTTTTTTAAGCCTGAAGAAAAACACATTTTCTCTCCTCTTTCATTTTTAGTTATCAAAGCACTGAAGCATTTGATTCGAAAGCAAAACAAAAAGCAAACACATGAGGCCAAATTATGCCTTCCATGGACAGGAACTGTGCGTGTGGATTAAAGAACTGGGTTGGTTCCCAGGAAGAAAATGACATGGATTTCTAAGAACAGATAGAGGAGAAAAGTAGGTCCACTTTTCAACCTCTCAACCCTGTCATTGTCCTTTAAAACTCATTGTCAGTGTTTGGTGAAGTCTGTGCAAGGCCATGAATACTGAACTCATGCTCTGGGCAAAATAAGGAGCTTAGCATTTGAGAAAGTGTGGCTGAACTTTGTCTCCATAAAGACATTGTAAGAGAGTCAATTACTTTTATTTCTTATTTCAAATCAAGGCTAATGGATCACCAAGTAACGCTTTGCCATTTTGATGGGAGGAAAAATTCAAATTTGATCATAAGAAACTAAGGTTTAGAAAAGTATTTTTTGCTTTCTTTTTTTTGTTTGTTTGGTTTTTTTTGTGAGATGGAGTCTCGCTTAGTTGCCCAGGCTGGAGTGCAGTGGCGCCATCTCGGCTCACTGCAAGCTCCGCCTCCCGGGTTCATGCCATTCCCCTGCCTCAGCCTCCCAATTAGCTGGGATTACAGGCGCCCGCCACCACGCCCGGCTAATTTTTTGTAGTTTTAGTAGAGATGGGGTTTCACTGTGTTAGCCAGGATGGTCTTGATCTCCTGACCTCGTGATCCGCCTGCCTCAGCCTCCGAAAGTGCTGGGATTACAGGCATGCGCCACCATGCCTGGCTTTTGCTTTCTTAAAAAAAAATTTTTTTTGTAAAGACAGGGTCTTGTTCTGTTGCCTAGGCTAGAGTGCAATGGTGTGATCACAGTTCACGGCATCCTCCAGGCTCAAGTGATCCTCCTGCCTCAGCCTCCCAAGTAGCTGGGACCACAGGCACACACCACCACACCACCTAATCAAAAAATATTTTAATGAGATATTCTTTCTTTCCGAATCAAAACTAGTAGAACTAAGGACACAGTCATTAAAGCAATTTTTTTCCTCCCACCAGTATTGACCAAGTGTCTACTATGTCTGTGTTCGTTTTCTGTATGTGCCCTAACAAATGACCACAAACTTGGTGGCTTAAAACAACAGAAATTTATTTTCTCACAGTTCGGGAGGGCAGAAGTCCAAAATCAAGGGGTTAGTGGGACCACCGTCTATCAGAAGACTCTAGGGGAGAGTCCTTCCTGGCCTCTCCCAGCTTTTGGTGCCTCCAGCGGCTTTGGCTGGGGGCTGCATCACGCCACTCTCTGCCCCAATCTTCACACGGCCTTCTCCTTTGTCCATGTGCCTCTCATCTTTTGCCTCTTACAAGGACACTTGTCATTGGGTTTAGGGCCCATCCAGATAATCCAGGACAATCCCGTCTTAATTGTAGCTGCAAAGACTCTTTTCCCAACTAAGGTCACCATCACAGATTTTGGGGTGTGGGAAAATCTTTTTGGGGGCTACTATAATATATAACCCACCACAGTGTTGAAACACTGCACCTGGTACTGTAGAGTGAAGGCAGCTGTGTTCTCAGGGTCACAGCTGGGAGTGTGTGTTGGCGTCAGAAACAGATGTAAACGTGTCTGCGTTCAGAGTGGGGGATGCATTTCTGGAGGGGCTTCTCTCAACAGTTTATAGATGGGATACCACCTGATCTGGGCCTTTGGTAGGATTTTTGTTTTATTTTTCAAAAATGTATGTTCAATGCAGACATTTAGAAGTTACAGACAAACAAAAAACAAAACAAAATGCAGTCACTTATATTTCTACCACTTAGAAGTTCTATAAAATCTTTTCAGGTTTTTTTCTGTTTCTGTAAACATATTTAAAATATGCTTTCTAATAAATAAAATCGGAACATTAGACCTCATTTTTTGACCCAAAATTTTTACTTATGAAGATGGCAAGAACATGTTTCTGTGTTAAATTTAGAATGTCTATTCCAATTTAATTGAGTGATTGATGGATGGAGGTGGAGTCTCACTCTGTCACCCAGGTTGGAGTGCAGTGGCACCATCTCGGCTCACTGCAACCTCTGCCTCATGGGTTCAAGTGATTCTCCTGCCTCGGCCTCCTGAGTAGCTGGGACTACAGACACGCACCACCATACCCAGCTAATTTTTGTATTTTTAGTGGAGATGGGGTTTCAACATGTTGGCCAGGCTGGTCTCGAACTCCTGACCTCAAGTAATCCTCCTGCCTCAGCCTCCCAAAGTGCTGGCATTACAGGCGTGAACCACTGCGTTCGGCCTCTATTCCAATTTTAATAATGTGTTAGTAGTGTTTCACCTAATGATTGTAGATACCAACAATTATTTAACCAATCTCTTATTGTTACACACGTAATTTTTTAACTTTTGCTATTGTGAAGCATGCTGCAATTAATATTCTATTATGCCATTTTGGCTGGACACGGTGGCTCACACCTGTAATCCAAGCACTTTGGGAGGCTGAGGCAGGCTGGTCACTTGATGTCAGGAGTTCGAGACCAGCCTGGTCAACATGGTGAAACCCTGTCTCTACTAAAAATACAAAAATCAGCTGGGCGTGGTGGTGTGTACCTGTAATACCAGCTACTCAGGAGGATGAGGCAGGAGAAAGAATCACTTGAACCCGGGAGGCGGAGGTTGCAGTGAGCCAAGATCGTGCCGCTGCACTCCAACCTGGGTGACAGAGACTCCGTCTTAAAAAAAAAAAAAATCTATTTTGTCATTTTTTTGATGCTTGTCTGATTATTTTCCACAGAATAAATGACTAGAAGTAGAATTGCTGGGGGCAAAGGTATGTGCTCATAGGGCTTTTGATAGTTATTTCCAAAAGGCAACCTGAAAGGCCATTAACAGTGGAAAGTCAATTAAGATATTTGAGAAGCGTGATCTCCAGAAGACCCCTTCCAGCTTTACAGTTTTGTGACTCTGGGATTCCTAGATTTAAGAAGTGTTAAGGCTATACTGGAGGAAGAAAGACACTCAAAGAGAAAATCACTGGATTTGTAGAGCTTGGATATCCACAGAGACCTTGGGCATTGCCCAAGATAATATTGGGATTAGGACCAGAGAGGACTCCCGTGGCCAAGGTGTTAAACGCCTTCATTTATGTTTGGGGTTCAGTAGAGACCAGAGAAGAGGAGGGAAAGAAGTGGTATTCTCTACTTATTCATGACTTCTCCTACCCTAGGAGTTCTGTTTATTGCCTTGTCTCTGTGTTGTTTGCCTCTGTTTCTTTTGTGTCAGCTGGTCTTTCCTATATCTTGCATCTGAATTCTCTGAATTGCAGAATATGATTTGACCAGCCAATCACAAGCTAATATAGAGGCTGCATGCTGTGCAGATTACATCAGGGCAGCTGACTAGCCTTCATGTTATATGTCCACCATGGTCTGGTTGGCTGTGGTCAGCATGACAAGGTACTATAGTACCAAGTACAGGGGCGAAGTTTTGCTGAAAATTCAACTCACAAAAATGCAGGTTAATAAAAGAGAAGGCATACAGATGCATTACTACCGTGTGCATGGGCAGAGTCACAGAGTGATTGCCCAGTATCCCAATGGGGTACAGATTCTTATATACCCTACTTCTTAGGGAAAAGGAAGATGGTGGGGGGGCGGTCTGTGGAGGATTTTAGGGGTAGTAACCGATTTTTAGAGAATTCAATGGGCTTGAAGAACATACAATGGTCTTGGGACAAAGTCTTTTGAGCCTGCAGAGCAGACAATGGTTTGTGACAAAAATCCATCTAGGTTTGTTGACAGACTTCTGCCTGCCTTCCTGCAGTAAGGGTTCAGTTAATGAAAACTCAGGGAAGGGACCAGAGGTCATTGCTTTGTTCTCTGGTAGGTCTGGACTTTAGGCAGATAAAGGAACTTCAGAGAGCAACTTCACTCTGTGCTTTGGGAGAGGTAGAGGATTAAGAGGGGGGAAGGACACAAATTGTTCTCCTTAGTGGGTCTGCTGGGCTTAGTGTAGATAGGGGAAAAGTCTCTGGCAGCATCCACTCATCTCTAAGGACCTGTAATTCCAAATACTTGTTATACCAGGGAGCCAAATTTGAGGGGAAGTTCCCTGCACTCCTTCACAAGCATATTGAAGAACCTCTAGGTTCTAGGCTGGGATGTGGCAGGCACTCAGAAACTTGAAGTGTGGGTGAATTCCTGGTGGCTTCTTGGAATTCTCTGCCTAGGACAGGAGACCAGTTAGGAAGAGCTAACGTAAACCAGCCAAGTTGTAACACGAGCCTGAAATAGGGAAAGAGAGTGGAAATGAAAAGGAGGGAGGCAATAACACAAATGATAGTGCACATTTATTGAGTGCTTTTGATGCGCCAGGGTCTGTTCTCAGCACTTGACATGTATAGTAAAACCAAGTGATAAATCAATATCCCATAAAACATGATTGGCTATTGGTAATTATCTCCCGGCCTCTGCCTGCTCTCGTTCTCATATGGGAGCTGAATAAATTCCTGTTCTTTTCGAGAGGAAGGCCCTTTATAATCCACAGTTCTGAGGTTAACCTTGATCCTAGCCCTCCCTTTCCCATTTCTTACCAACTTTTTTTTTTTTTTCCGAGATGAAGTTTCGCTCTTGTCGCCCAGGTTGGAGTGCAATGGCGTGACCTTGGCTCACAGCAACCTCTACCTCCCTGGGTTCAAGTGATTCTCCTGCCTCAGCCTTCCAAGTAGCTGGGATTACAGGTGCCCCCTACCACACCAGGCTAATTTTTGTGTTTTTAGTAGAGATGGGGTTTCACCATGTTGGCCAGGCTGGTCTTGATCTCCTGACCTCAAGTAATCCACCTGCCTTGGCCTTCCAAAGTGCTGGGATTACAGGTGTGAGCCACTGCACCCGGCCTCCCATCAACTTTCAAATTTAATTTCCAGAGGCTGTGCTCTCCTGCTCTGCCCAACGGTGTCATTTCTTCCTCCCACTCCTGTCCCTTCCTGCACCTGAGGGTGGAGGAACAGGAGAGAGATGGTGAGGGCATTGTTTCTGGTCAGTTGAGCACAGTGTAGGTTTATCTTTACTTTTGTGCTTTTCATGACAAAACAGACTGACAAAAATCCTGTTTTTCATTAACCTTGCCTTAACACAAACCCATCCTTTTTGCCACTGAATTTTTGGGGTCATGTTTATCACTTACGTGTTAGGAAAGTGTTATAGTGTATCATAGGGTAGAAACTACTGTTTCCTCCTGTTTTATAGGTGAGTTAACTGAAACAAAGAGATCTCAAGTAATCAGTTCAAGGGTCCACAGCTGATAGTGGCATAACCAGAATTCAAACCAGGCAGCCTGATTCTACAGCTTGTAAGGTTGAGACTGATACCGCAGAGAGGACAAATTGCCCCTTGTCATACCTCCCAGAGATAACCTCTAATTATGCTCGTGTATACAGATGTCCCTGACTTATGGTGGTTGGACTTATGACTTTACGGTGGTGTGAAAGCCATATGCATTCACTATTTTCCTCAACTTATGATAGGGTTACCTCTGGAGAAGCCTATCGTAAGTTGAAAATATCCCAAGTTGAAAACACACTTTTGACTTACAGAAATTTTCAATTTAAGATGGCCTTATCAAGTTGTAACCCCATCCTACATTTGGAGACATGTTATTCTCTTTTTATTCCTATACTTCATTTTTTCACTGTTCTTCCCAACACACTTATTTTTTGATCAAGAGATGACTTCTATTTCTTGGCCCACTTAATTTTCTCCCAATCTATGAGCATCTTTCCTGTTCTATTTCCTTTTCCTACACAGCCTAGATTGCATATTTTATCGTCTCTACCTTTCCCAGGTATTAGTTTTTTTTGTTTGTTTGTTTTTTCAAGACAGAGTCTTGCTCTGTCGCCCAGGCTGGAGTACAGTGGTTTGATCTTGGCTCACTGCAACCTCTGCCTTCTGGGTTCAAGTGATTTTCCTGCCTCAGTCTCCCAAGTAGCTGGGATTACGGGTGAGCACTACAACGCCCAGCTACTTTTTGTATTTTTAGTACAGATCAGAGTTTCACCATGTTGGACAGACTGGTCTTGAACTCCTGACCTCAAATGATTCGTCCACTTCAGCCTCCCAAAGTGCTGGGATTACAGGCATGAGCCACCGCGCCTGGCCTCCCAGGCATTAGTTTTTAAGCTAGCATACCAATTGCAGCTTAGGCTAGATCATAGTGTTGAAAACTTGAAAGCATTCTCTGGTGCTAGCCTCTTTTTTTTTTTTTTTTTTTTTTTTTTTTGAGACGGAGTTTCACTCTTGTTACCCAGGCTGGAGTGCAATGGCATGATCTCTGCTCACTGCAACCTCTGCCTCCCACGTTCAAGTGATTCTCCTGCCTCAGCCTCCTGAGTAGCTGGGATTACAGGTGCCCACCACCAAACCCGGTAGAGATTTTATTTGAGCCACCGCGCCCAGCCTCAAGCTAGAGTTTTATAAAACCCGCCATCATCAGACTTTTGCCCATATCCATATATCACCTATATTATTATTTACTATTATTTACCTAATGTTTTCTTCTTTCAATCATCTCACATGTTTAAAGTGAATTTATTTAACAAAAACCACCTTCCTAATTGAACATGGGCTAGACAGCATGAGGGAATTATTAATGTTATTATGTGTGATAATGGGTAATGATTTTGTGGAAGAATATTCTTGTTTTCTGGAATTGCATGTTGAAGTATTTCAGGAGAAAAGTGTCACAATGTCTGTAATTTAGTTTTAAGTTTTTGGACAAAAAATAAATTATAGATGAGATTGTAAAGAATGGTTGAATCTCTGTGGTGAGGATACGGTTATTCATTGTACTATTCTTTCTGTTTTTTATTTTGAAAATTTTAAGATAAAAAATAAAAAGCTTCTTTTTGCTAATATAAATGGAAATTTTCTATCACTTGCTATACGGAGAAGATAACTCTAAAAAGAAACATGCTGAAAAACAGTGTCTTCACATTCTAGCTAGATAATATTGCCTGATCAAAGGCACTGCACCTATTCTCTTTGCAAATAAAAGGAATTTTTTTTTTCTTCCCTGGCGCAGTGGCTCACGGCTGTAATCTCAGCACTTTGGGAGGCCAAGGTGGGCGGATCACTTGAGGTCAGGAGTTTGAGACTAGCATGACCAACACGGTGAAACCCCGTCTCTACTAAAAATACAAAAATTAGCTGGGCCTGGTGGTGAGCACCTGTAATCCCAGCTACTCGGGAGACTGAGGGAGGAGAATCGCTTGAACTCGGAAGGCGCAGGTTGCAGTGAGCCCCAAGTGTGCCATTGCACTCCAGCCTGGGTGGCAGAGTGAGACTTTATCTGTTTTTTTGTTTTTTTTTTTTTGATGGAGTCTTGCTCTGTCGCCCAGGCTGGAGTGCAGTGGCGTGATCTTGGCTCACTGAAAATCCACCTCCCGGGTTCAAGTGATTCTTCTGCCTCAGCCTCCTGAGTAGCTGGGATTACAGGCGCACGCCACCACACCCGACAAATCTTTGTATTTTCAGTAGAGACAGGGTTTCACCATATTGGCCAGGCTAGTCTCAAACTCCTGACTTCGTGATCTGCCTGCCTTGGACTTCCAAAGTGCTGGGATTACAGGCATGAGCCACTGCACCCTGCCTATACTTTATAATTTTTAGCCTTCAATCCCTTCATCCAAATTCAGCCACAAAAACCTGAAGACATTAGATAACAGATAAAGCTGGGCATGGTGATGAGCCTGTAGTCCCAGCTACTCTGGAGGCTGAGGCAGGATGATCCCCTGAGCCCAAGAGTTCAAGGCCAGCCTGGGCAACACAGCAAGACCTTGTCTCAAAACAGAACCAAACCAAACCAAAAAAAAAAAAAAAAAAAAACCCACAGAAGCCGGCTGTGGTGGCTCATGCCTGTAATCCCAACACTTTGGGAGGCTGAGGAGGATGGATCACTTGAGGACAGGAGTTGGAGACCAGCCTCGTCAATGTGGTGAAATCCTGTCTTTACAAAAAATACAAAAATTAGCCAGGCTTGGTGGTGTGCACCAGTAGTCCCAGCTACTCGGGAAGCTGAGGCAGGACAATTGTTTGAGCCTGGGATGCGGAGGTTGCAGTGAGCTGAGATCACACCATTGCACTCCAGCCTGGGCCACAACTTTCCCATTTCCTAGCTTTGTTCTTTTTCCTTTGTCGTTTGCCATGCCCTAGAAGGGAGTGGATTTCCTGAGGAACTGAATGAAGTCTCCATCTCCTTTCCTCCTTTCCTCCTTACACTATTGGCGGTTGCCATCTGGAAACAAATGGAGGAAAGTCAAACAGACAGTGATTTCAATGCCCATCCGCTCCTCAAATACTCCATCGGAGGTTTTTCTTTGTCTCATTAGTGGTAGGGTATACAATGTGGGCAAGTTATATTTTGTAAAAACACGTTCTTTTTATTTTCCTTTTCCTTTTTTTTTTTTTTTTTTTGAGATGCAGTTTCACTCTTGTTGAGTGAAACAAGGCTGGAGTGCAATGGTGCCATCTCGGCTCACTGCAACCTCTGCCTCCTGGGTTCAAGCAATTCTCCTGCCTCAGCCTCCCGAGTAGCTGGGACTACAGGCTTGTGCCACCATGTCCGGCTAATTTTGTATTTTTAGTAGAGATGGGTTTTCACCATGTTGGTCAGGCTGGTCTTGGGCTCCTGACCTCAGGTGATCCACCCACCTTGACTTCCCAAAGTGCTGGGATTACAGGTGTGAGCCACTGGGCCTGGCCACGTTCTTTCCTCTTTATACTTATTAACCCTTGATGATTATATGGTAATGTTGCACCAAGTTATATCTTTGATATCTCTTTATATGATACCTAATCCCTGTAGTTAAAGTTAATAATTATATGAAGAAATAGTCCCTCTGGGCAAGGTGGCTCATGCCTGTAATCTCAGCACTTTGGGAAGCTGAGGCAGGAGGATCACTTGAGCTCAGGGCTTCAAGACCAGCTTGGGCAACAAAGTGAGACCCTTGTCTCTACAAAAAAAATTAGCCAGGCATGGTGGTGCGTGCCTGTGGTCCCAGCCACTTGGGAAGCTGAGGTGGGAGGACAGTTTAAGCCTGGGAGTTTGAGGCTGCAGTGAGCCATGATGGCACCACCGCACTCCAGCCTGGGTGACAGAGCGAGACCCTGTCTCAAAAAGAAAAGAAAAAAAAATTCTTTAGGAGCTTGGTGACCCATGTCTTGCAAAAGGGCACTGCTATCAAGATGACAATTTTACACAATCAGATTCTGCCTGTACTTCCTCTCATGCCAACCACCAAAAATAGAAAACAAAATAATTGAGATAAAGAACATTATCATTCCTTATTACAGTTAATGGCTAGAAGGCTATAGAACCAGCACAGGAGTGCACCCTGAAATCCAGGCCTGTGGAAGAAAAGGTTAGTTTCTGTAAATGAGGCTCAGAGAATGGATGGAAGTAGCTGTAACTCATCCTCTTCAGTGATTTGGAGATAGCTTACTTTTAAAATTAAAGTGCCAGGAAGCAACAACCCTAAAATGTAGCTAATGTCAGATAAGATGTAATCTAGGAAATTGTAATATGCCCATCATGAGGTAATGTTGTAATGGCAGTAGCTTTTGGTGGCTGATAAGGAATATTGGAAAAGGTGCCGGAGTGAGAGAGTGAGTCTCCAGTTTCTCCAGCAGAGACCAGGGCAGGCATACCCTGACTGTCCAGTTACATGTTGTCTTCTGGTTGGCAGCTGGATGGCTGCATGGTGGAGGATGGAGAATCAGGCGCTCACAGCCAGAAGCTATTCCCAGAGACCTTCTGGCTCCTTGTAAACTGGGCCTGTACTCTGCCAGCAGTGGGATCATCTTAATAGGATTTCCCAAGTTAATTTTCCTGCTGGGAGCAGAAAGTACCCACCAGCTTGGAAGGCAGAAGCAGGTGTGAAAACAGGGTGGTCAGAATCTTGACCCTGCCAAGTACAGAATTTGGGGGCAGTTAGCTTCAGTCACCTCTCCCAATAGGCTTCCTCATTTGTAAAATTCAATGACAATATTTCCCCCATGGGGTTTTTGCGAAATACGCACCAGGTAATGTAATTGGAAAGCTCAGCGCCCCCCAACTCCACATACCTGGGGATTCCAGTCATTCCGGCACTTTTCTTTTTCTATGTTAATGAACACATTTGCACTCTGTTTTTGCTCATTCATTCTTTTTCTCCTCACTCAGATCTGTTTATGCAACAGATGTTTATAAAGTGAACGTGGGCCACCCCTGTAATCCTAGCACTTTGGGAGGCTAAGATAGGAGGATCGCTTGAGCCCAGAAGTTCAAGACCAGCCTTGGCAACATAGTGAGACCCCCATCTCTACAAAAAATACAAAAATTAGCTGAGAGCGGTGGAACGCACCAGCAATCCCAGCTACTCGGGAGGCTGAGGTGGGAGGCTTGAGCCTGGGAGGTCAAGGCTGCAGTGAGCCGGGATTACTCAACTGCTCTCCAGCCTGGGTGGCAGAATGAGACCCTGTCTCAAAATAAATAAATAAAAATAAAGATAATGTGAACCTGAAGTGAATTTGTGTGGAGGGACTTGAACCCTTGGGGACAGCTCCCTTTCTGTAGGCGAGGAGCCACTGGGTAACTTGAGTCAAACTTGAGCATACTCAAATGAGATGAAGGCCTTCGGTCACTGTGTCAGGGATCAGAGGGTACAGCTTCCTCAGGCCTGACTTCCTTCTGGAAGCCTTTTTGAGCATCTTGGCCCTTACTCTGTGATTTTCCCAAACTCTGCACACTTCTGGCAGAGGCAGGTCAGGGTAGGGGTGGAGAGTGTGGATTCTGGGGCCAGGGTGCCTGTGTTTGAATTGTCGCCACTGACTGGCAGCCACTTCCTCAGCCCTGTCTGTAAAACAGGGATAATCACGTACCCTCCTCATGGGGTTGTTATATAAATGAGGTGAGTTTGTGTGTGGAGAGATTAGAACCTTGCCTGAGCCAGGCATGGTAGCATGCACCTGTAGTCCCAGCTACTCCAGAGGCTGAGGCAGGAGGATTGTTTGAGTCCAGGAGGTGAAGGCTGCACCGAGCTATGATCGTGCCACTGCACTCCAGCTTGGGCAATGCAGTGAGACCCTGTCTCTTAAAAAAAAAAAAAAAGAATTTTGCCTGGCACATAGGATATGCTACATAATGTAAGAGTCAGTGACTGCTGGACCATATGAAAGTTTTGTTTTTGTAGGCAAAAATGATCTGATACTGGCAGCTTCACTTGGTTGAACGTGGTATTTACTGCACCGTGCTGCAACTCTTTGCTTCAGGAAGGCTCACCTCCCTGAACTGGGGTTGCTGGGAGAGTCTGCTGGCTCCGTGGCAGTGTCTGTGTGTTTCTGCCTTATCCAAGTGACTTCTGTGATTTTGACTTTGGCCCGTTTAGCTATAGAGCAAGCAACGGTGTCATCACTGTGTCACGCCCAGCATAATCTCACGCACAAGGTGGTGGTAGGAGCAAACAGGCTGGTTAAGGAGGCTCTGGAAGATTCCGCTGCTGTGGGGGAGAATGCCCTGGGTCATTTAGCCAACAGGGAGGTTGGCCCTGGCAGGAAGCCAGGTCACCACGCCAGGCTGTCACTCGAGTACATAATCCCTGTTCTGTGCTCCCTGTCAGCTGCCTGATGGCTGCTCACCAGGGGCAGACTCTTATCTGGGAGCAGTCATCCTGATCTTGCAGTTTGTCACTTCAAGCCTCATGACCAGAGTTGTGAAAATGTCACTCTGAGTTGAATATCCAGTCCAGGCATTCCTCTGGCTCATTGCGCTGCAGTCCACGCCTATACCTCTTGGGCCAGTCAAACTGATGGACAGTCATTTAAAAAAAAAAAAAGGAAAAAGGAAAAAATAGAGTTTATTTTATGTATTTATTTGAAATGGAGTCTCACTCTGTTCCCCAGGCCAGAGTGTAGTGGCGCGATCTTGGCTCACTGCAGCCTCCGACTCCTGGGTTCCAGCAATTCTACCACCATTTATTTATTTATTTATTTATTTGAGACGGAGTTTCACTCTTGTTGCCCAGGCTGGAGTGCAATAGCGCTATCTCAGCTCACCGCAACCGCCTCCTCCCGGGTTCAAGTGATTCTCCTGCCTCAGCCTCCTGAATAGCTGTGATTACAGGCACATGCCACCACGCCCGACTAATTTTGTATTTTTAGTAGAGACGGAGTTTCTCCATGTTGGTCAGGGTGGTCTCGAACTCCCGACCTCAGGTGATCCGCCTGCCTTGGCCTCCCAAAGTGTTGGGATTACAGGCGTGAGCCACCGTGCCTGGCCTCTACCACCTTTTAAAGGATGATTTTAATTTTATTTTTATTTTTAATTTTTGGAGACAGTGTCTCACTCTGTTGCCCAGGCTGGAGTGCAGTGGCATGATCATGGCTCACTGCAGCCTCGACCTGCTGGGCTCAAGAGATTCTCTCACTTCAGCCTCCTATGTGGCTGGGACCACAGGCATGCATCACTACACCTGGCTAAATTTTAGTTTTACATTTTTTTATAGACATGGGTTCTTGCTGTGTTGCCCAGGCTGGTCTCAAACTCCTAAGTTCAAACGATCCACCCAACTTGGCTTCCCAAAGTGTTGGGATTACAGGTGTGATCCATCATGGCTGGCAAAATAGAGTTTAAATGGAAAACTTTTTGTTTTGCTCAAGGGAACACACACAGGATAGGCCTTTACTTACAGACACTGAGGAACTGCCAGTCATGACATGAGCTTGTCAGGGCTAAGCAGAAGCCTGATGCAGTAGTGCAGTGGGCTCTGCATCTCCCCTTGGCACCCACATATTCATCCCTAGAGAGCAAGAGCATCTTATTCATCTTTTGCATCTGCAGTGCCAGGTACTGTATTTGATGCAAAATATGTAATTAATAAATATTTATTGACTGACCAAAGAGCAGGCACTCAGTAAATACTTGTTGGTTGTCACTTGTGACCTCTGGCATAATTACCTTCTCCCTTGACCTGGACCCTGGCAATTCTTGGGTGTGTGGCCATGGGAACCGAAGGGTAGCTGGGTTGTACTTTCTCTCAATCCATGGGTCAACATTCTCCAAGCATGTGATACTCAGAGACTTGACTTGGGGCTTCATGTCCCCTCTCCTGAGGCCACGATGGCAGGTCTACAGAGTTTAGATCCTTGGCTGTCAGGAAGGTAGGGGACTAGGAAGAATGAGAGAAGGGCCCATCTCAGCCTGGCCTCCACTTGCTGAGGCCCTTCTCCTAACTTACTCTTTCCAATTCCATGTTTATAAGGAATGGAACCATTCATTCTTCCAGCAGGTGTTTATTGAGCTGCTCATATGTGCCTGACTCTACACGGAATTAAACAGAAATGCCCTCTTTACTGGCTTATGGCTGCCAAGCATTCATAGCAACCTTGCTTTCTGATGCTTCGATGTTGGCTCTTCCTAGTATTAAAAAAAAAAAAAGGGAAAAGAAAAAAAGAAAAAAGAAGAAAGAAAGAAATGCTCTCTGTTCTTAGAGCACTTATAGCCTAGAATGAATGAACTTTGGTTTTGAGAAGTTAAAAGGGTCCATATAGAGTAATGGGGACGGGGGTGGAGAGGTAGGGGAACAAAGCAAATAAAAACTGTCCCCAACCACCCCCTACAAGGAGAAGAGCAGCACATGCATTAGTCATTCTGTGCTTATCATCCTCAACTTCAATATTTCTAAACCTATGTCTGTTTCTATATTTTAGCTCTGGTAGATATTTGAAATAGTCAATCTTTTTAGTTAAAAGCACTTTGTTTCCTTCTTTTCTTACAAAAGTAGAGATGGTCAGGCACGGTGGCTCACGCCTATAATCCCAACATTTTGTGGGACTGAGGCAGGCGGATCACTTGAGGTCAGGAGTTCGAGACCAGCCTGGCCAACAAGGTGAAACCCTGTCTCTACTAACAATACAAAAATTAGCCAGACGTGGTGGTGGGCACCTGTAACTCCAGCTACTCAGAAGGCTGAGGCAGGAGAATCGCTTGAACCTAGGAGGCAGAGGTTGCAGTGAGCCAAGGTCACGCCACTGCACTCCAGCCTAGGTGACAGAGTAAGACTCCATCTTAAAAAAAAAAATAGTAGAGACAATGTTTTGCTATGTTTGCCTAAGCTGGTCTTGAACTCCTGAGCTCAAGCAATCTGCCCACGTGGGCCTCCCAAAGTGCTGGGATTATAGGCCTGAGCCACGGCATTCAACTTGAAAGTGATATAGGAGTTAAGAAGAAATTACTTAGGCAGTTAGTGAAGGTACAGGAGTCCTCGGTAAGGTTTCCCTTTTTAATGAAAAGCAGCCCCCAAATCATTTTCTAACAAACAGCAACCTATAAAATCGAGCTGCAGACATAGATGCCGGCAGGTGTACCAATCATGTTCAAAATGATGGCCCCAGCTTCCCTTCTGTCTCTGCCAGCCTTGTGTACAGTAAGGAGCAAACAAGATGGTGCCGGTCGTGTGGAAAGTTCATTCGCATAATAAGATTAGGGTGGGGCGGCCAGCCTTCCCTGCACTATGTAAACGTTACACCTGATCGAACCTATCTGTGGGCCCTAAGTAAATCAGATACCGCCTCCTCAAGCCTGCCTATAAAATCCGGGGCATCTACCACCAGCTGGTCTTTCCCTTTCAGAAGCTCATCTCTTTCACTAGAGAGAGAGCTGTTCTCCTTTCTCTTTACTTTGCCTATTAAACCTCCACTCCTAAACTCCTCAAATGTGTCCATGTGCTAAATTTTCTTGGTGTGAGATGATGAACCCTGGGTATTTACCCCACACAAAGAAGCCACTTCAAAAGAACTTTGGGCGGGGTGCAGTGGCTCATACCTGTAATCCCAGCACTTTGTGGGGCCGAGGTGGGCGGAACGTCTGAGGTCTAGAGTTTGCGACCAACCTGGCCAATATGGTGAAACCCCGTCTCTACTAAAAATACAAAAAATTAGCTGGGCGCATTGGCAGGTGACTGTAGTCCCAGCTACTGGGGAGGCTGAGCAGAATCGCTTGAACCTGGGAGGTGGAGGTTGCAGTGAGCCAAGATCGTGCCACTGGACTTTGGAGGATATTTACCCCCCTACCAAAATTCATACATTGAACCTCTAGCCCTCAATGTGGCTGTGTTTGGAGATAGCGCCTTTAGGGAGGTAGTTAAGGTTAAATGAGGTCACAAGGGTGTGTTCTTAATCCTATAAGACTGATTGGTGTCCTTGTAAGAAGAGGAAGAGATGGGTGCAGTGGCGTACGCCTGTAATCCCAGCACTTTGAAAGGCCGGAGTGGGGAGGCTAGCTTGAGCCCAGGAGGTGGAGAACAGCCTGAACAACATAGCAAGATCTCCATCTTTACAAAAAATTAGGAAGAAAAATTAACCCGGTTAATTTTTCTCCCAGCTACTTGGGAGACTGATTGAAGTGAGAGGATCACTAGAGTTTAGGAGGTCGAGGCAGCAGTGAGCTATGATTTTGCCATTGCACTCCAGCCTGTGTGACAGAGACCTTGTCTCTAAAACAAAAAGAAGAGGCAGGGACACCAGGAATTCCTGTGCACAGAGGAAGGGCCACATGAGGACGTAGAGAAGAGGCCCCCATCTTGCAAGCTAGGAAGAGGAGAGCTGAAAGAAAATACATTTCTGCTGTTTACACCACCCATGCTGTGGCACGTTCTTATGGGAACCAGAGCTGACTAATAAAAAATAGTTTTAATTTTTCCTTCAGTGAAGATTCAGAAATAAATAAATTCATAGGATGTCTTCTTCTCTCCCAAATTCGTTGCGTTTCAATAGGTATTTATTAATATCTTTAAGGCCACTCGCTCAGTTTAAGTATTCAAGTAGCAGATGCAACTCGAAACCTTCCTAAGAAATGCTAACATTTTCCCCTGGTTTCCCCAATCTCTGAGTCTTTCATAACAAATATGTTTGGAAATAAAGATGCAATTCCTGCATCTTATATGTATTTTCAGTGGTAATTCATGCTGATCTAATGCATGAGCACAGATTTTATTTATCCACCGTGCTATGGGATCAGGGACGGACACAGGGCAGTTCTAGGTGAATAATGCCCCGGTACTCAAATAGCATCTGTTCCCCAAAGTCAGGCAGCCCAACCCTGCTGCAGGAATTGAGGGGGCTCCCACACACTGCCTGGTTCTGACTAGCTTCTCTTAATTTAGTTCTCATAGGTATTGATACATATTTATATAATACTATGTATATTCAATCAGTTATTTTTGAATGGAATTATGTAAATGTGTGCTCACTCATAGTATAAAAATGATGCTGCCGCAAATGTCTCTGCCTCTACACCCCTTCTAAGGAACAGGAAGCCACGAGGTATCTGTAGAATCACAGCTTTCATTTGTTGCTGGGGGAAAATATTTATAAGCAGAGATGTAGAATTTCATTTGTTTTGACACATTGTGGGAGGTGTTCTCAGAAAGGTGTTTTGGAAAAGTGTAATGTCATCTCCCATGGATCTTATTTTGGGATCCCCAGAATGTGCAGGGAAAATGAACAGACTGTCTTTAACGACCTCTTTAACGGCTGGTGGCGCTTCCCTTGCTGCACAGAAAATGTTCAATCGTGTTCTTTTTCTCTCCCCTCTCACTTTTCCTTATCTTACTTCTTTTCATCTCCCCTCCTCTTTCTTCTTCTTCTCCTTTTCTTCTCTTTTGAACACTTTTTGACTTTTCTTTTGTAAAATAAAATAATCAAACTAGGTGAGTTGTTGGCCAAGTTCAAGGGCAAATGTGTAGTTGACATGAGAAAGCCACCTGTTTAATGATAACTGTTGGGGAAAACTGCCTCTCACTAGGTAACCTACAAAGTAGGAGAAACAACGACAATGACAAATGGAAGCACGCGTCTGCACAACTTTCCACTGAACTTTTAGGGAAGATTGTGTTCCTTCTGCTGGCCTGGCTGCCCTATTCAGGCTGATGAGTAGAGCCTTGGCTGATTTAACCTAGCATGGGGATAAACAACTTAAACAGGAGAAAGGAGTAGCTCCAGGACAAGTCCTGGGGCAGAGAACTGGGAGTGAAACCACCTCTGCAAAATTATGGCTGAGACAGTGAAAGAGATCTAACTTAATTGATTCCATCTTGCTTCTAACCTCCAAGCTTTCCATGTTCATTCCTGGGTGTAGGCTGAACTAACTTTGGGAGAAACTTAGTTTATAGTTTATAGTGTTTTTTTGGTTTTTTTGTTTGTTTGTTCGAGACAGAGTCTCACTCTATCGCCCAGGCTGGAGTGCAGTGGTGTGATCTCGGCTCACTGCAACCTCGGTCTCCCGGGTTCAAGCGATTCTCCTGCCTCGGCCTCTCGGGTAGCTGAGACTACAGGCGACCGCCACCATGCCTGGCTAACTTTTGTATTTTTAGTGGAGATGGGGTTTCGCCATGTTGACCAGGCTGGTCTCGAACTCCTTGACCTCAGGTGATCCACTGCCTTGACCTCCCAAATTGTTGGGATTACAGGCATGAGCCACCCCACCCAGCCTATAGTTTATAGTTTAAAACAAAGAAGAAAACAACCCTTTCCCAAAGTAGACCTCCTTCTTGCCTGGGGACTAGATTGCCTTTGTAGGGCCAACATTAGCCAAAAGATTAGAAATTATAGTTTAGGAGTCACGCAGCTAGAGATTACAAGATCCTGACCCTCCCTAAACTGCTGCTAAGATCAGTGCTTGAGATATTTTGCAGATCCTGCACTTGATGGATCAGCTGGCCCCACCCAGATCAATAAACTGGCCCATCTGATCTTGTGGCCCCCTCCCAGGAACCAACAGTGCAAGAGGACAACTTCAATTCCCTCTGATTCCATCTCTGACCAATCAGCACTCTTGGCTCACTGGCTTCCCCCAACTCACCAAGTTGTCCTTAAAATGCTCGGGGAGACTGATTTGAGTAATAATAAAACTCCAGTCTCCTGCACAGCTGGCTCTGCATGAATTACTCTTTCTCTATTGCAATTCCCGTGTCTTGATAAATTGGCTCTGTCTAGGCAGTGGGCAAGGTGAATCCATTGGGCAGTTACAGGAGGGAAGGAGAATGATAATTTATTTTATTTTATTTTTATTTATTTATTTATTTTTTGAGACAAGGTCTTGCTCTGTTGCCATGGCTGGAATGCAGTGGCACAATTATAGCTTCCTGTAGCCTCAACCTCCCAGGCTCAAGTGATCCTCCCCCTTCAGCCTCCTGAGTAGCTGGGACCACAGGTGTGTGCTGCCACACCCAGCTAATGTTTTAAATTTTTTGTAAAGACGGTGGTCTCACCATGTTGCCCAGGCTGGTCTCCAATGCCTGAGCTCAAGTGATCTGCCTGCTTTGACCTCCTGAAGTGCTGAGATTACAGGCGTGAGCCACCACGCATGGCGCAAATGAGGGTTTGGGTGGGCTTTGCTTTATTTCTCTTCAATGTTTTCTTTTCTTTTTTAAGGAATTCGGGAGGTCAGACTGGAATTTCTCCTGATGAATACTGTGTTTAGATACTTGGTGGAAATGTGAAAGGTTTTTTTCCCCTCAATTCAGCTATGGTGTCTTACGCTATGCAAAATAAATGTAAATATCCGTGATAGGGTGCCTTGGTCAATAAAGGGCCTCAAGATTTTTTTTTTGTTGTTGTTGTTGAGACGGAGTCTCACTCTGTTGCCCAGGCTGGAGTGCAGTGTCGCGATCTCAGCTCACTGCAAGCTCCGCCTCCCGGATTCACGCCATTCTCCTGCCTCAGCCTCCCGAGTAGCTGGGACTACAGGCGCCTGCCACCACGCCTGGCGAATTTTTTTTTTTGCATTTTTAGTAGAGACAGGGTTTCACCGTGTTAGCCAGGATGGTCTCGATCTCCTGACCTCATGATCTGCCCGCCTCGGCCTCCCAAAGTGCTGGGATTACAGGCGTGAGCCACCGCGCCCGGCCAGCCTCAAGATTTTTCAAGCCTCTGTGGTTATAGATGGATTCAGACTTCCACTGAAGTGGTGACAACAGTGTATTTTTGCTGCAGGGAGGTCCCATGGTTCTGACTCCCTCAATATTGGATCTCACAGACCTGCAAATGTAAAGGTAAAGCAAAGAGATTTGGGCTATGTGGAAGTTGGAGGCATGTGGCTCAACTTCTCTACACACGAATTGAACAAGACTGTCTTCTTGGTGGGCAGAGTTGCATGTTTGAGATTCAGTTTCCATTTAAAGCAAAACAAAACAAATCAGGACCCTTTTTTTTTTTTTTCTTCTCTGGGGGCCTCAAATGATATGAGGCCTGGAGCCTTCGTGGTTTCTTTTTTAGAGAGGCAGTCCCTGAAACAGAATGGTGAGCCAAGACTCTGAAACATGTTCAGAATTTTCTGGGCTCAGCTTCTTTGGTTATCCCCAAGCCTTCCAAAGGCCACATGATGAATGTGAAGGCCTGGCCTCAGGCAGCACTGTGTGGGAAGGAGGGCAGGCTTGGCCCACTCTTGGGGCTGGTGGAGGTGGCCACAGTGGAGAATAGAAGCTGGTCTGAAGATGCCTATCGAGGGTCTGAAGGGCAATGGGCTTGAGCCAGATGCTGGTTTGTGGCAAGTGACAACCAAGGCAGATTTATAGAGCTTCTCTGCACTCTCCAGGGTTCCTAGATGCTGGGAGAGGGGAACTTGGTAAATAATTGGACCTTGCATGGCCAAACAAGTTAGTTGGGTATGTGAAAGGAAGGTAACATCTTGGGACCCCAAACTCACTATGCCAAAGGGAAAGTTAAGCTTGGGAACTGAGTCATGCAAAAAATCACCTTCCTTTTTGTTCCCAAACAGTTATCTAGCTGCAATGATAGAAGGCCACCTATCCCGCTGACGAGGACTTCCTCACAAATTGCTCACAAGGAAATTCCTTGTGGACACCCAAATCTCTCAGAATGCATATTCCCTCTATAAACTAACCCTAAAACAGAGTTCTGTTGAATCTCACCCTGACAATGTAAATAAATTAATAGCCTATCTTCACAGGTACGGGACAAAAACAAGACTAGAAACCATCCCTCCACCTATCCTGAGACAAATGCATATTTTACTTCTTCCTCTACTCTATGCTTATTTTGTTATTTATTATTTGTTTTGAAACAAGGTCTCACTCTGTTGCCCAGGCTGGAGTGCAGTGGTGTGATCATGGCTTACTGCAGCCTTAACCTCCTGGCTCAAGTGATCCTCCCATCTCAGCCTCCCAAGTAGCTGGACTATAGGTGTGTGCACTACACCTGGCTAATTTTTTTTTTTTTTGTAGACTCAGGGTTTTGCCATGTTGCCCAGGCTGGTATGCTTACTTTATCTTATGTAAAATGAAGCATGACATGAATGCATAGTTGACTCTCCTCACTCTTCTTTTTTTTCACATGTAAAATGTGGATTTCGAGAGCACCAATCAAAGCCTCACAAGATGTAACCACCTCACCTCCTACCCTCCCCACTTTCTTTTTTCCCCTTTCTTTTCCTCCTTCCCCTCCTGTCCACTCTTTCCCCTTTAAATACTGAAGTTCTAAAAACTCTTTCTGGAAAAAGCACAGGCCTCTCATCCTACCGTAACTTGCCTCTTTTCCCCAGGCACGTCCTCAACCTTGGCAAAATAAACCTCTAAATGGACTGAGATCTGTCTCAGACACTTTTTGGTTTATAGGCAGTAGAGGGAAGTGGCATCCCCAAGGACGGAGAAATCTGAGACCTCTTGGTTATGAGAATGATTATCAGAGTAACAAGACTTCCCATCTAATAAATGCTTACTATGTCTCTGGTACTTAATTGTATCCAAATTAACTCATTGAATCCTCACAACCACATTGTGAGGTATCATTCCCACTTTAGAGATGAGAACACTGAAGGTCAGAGAGATTGGGTAAATTGCTCAAGGTCATGCAGACAGGAAACACTGGAGCCAGAATCTGGACTCCACCGGTTTGATTCTGGAGCCCACACTCTTGGCCATACCACCATGACCACCAGCCCAGGGGGTACAGGAGCCCCAGGGAACCAGCACTCACTGAGAGCAGGAATCACATCTGCTGGCATCTTGCCTTTGATTCTTGCACAGTTCCAAGCACACAGGAGGTGCTTAATACATGTTTGTCAACTCTATCCCTTTGCTTAGGGGGGTTTATATTCTTGTTAGAGGGAAAATACTATTACGCCTGAGAGAGAAAACAATTTAGAACAAAATACCCAATGCCAAAAACCATGGGGGGTGATAAGGCAGGAAAACACAATCATTTAGCAGACTGGATACTGTTAGCGCCTTCTCTTCCAGTGAGGAAACCATCAAAAATCAAATTAAGATCGGAAGGTTGCTTGATGAGTTTAGAACCCTGGGCAAAGGAAACTGGATTTCCTAGAGGGTATATTTTTATCACACGGTGGCTGTCCCCGTGAAACATCCTCCTTCAGTGAGGAGTATGTTTGCCCAGTGGACTGGATGTTTACATTGGCCAGCCATGTTCTGCTCTGGTCAGTGCTGGAAAACACCCAGTGTTTTGCCCTCCAGCTTTCCAGACTCCATGGAAACTCCCCGCTCTCTGTTTGCACTTGTCATTACAGCATCCCTTCCCTGGCTTCCACACTCTCCTCACATTACAATTTCCATGTGTCCGGTTTATTTTACATGGGTTAGAGTGCCTGCTCCTCAGGACCGTGGGGCCACTTGTCACCTGATCACATTTTAGGGTTGCCTCCTCCAGTGAATGGGTACTTGTTAGCCTTAAGGAGCTAGCCCATCTGTGCCTGCATTTTTGCCTTTTCCTAGAGCTCATATTAGGGCCTTTCTTTGAAACTTTGGCTGTCTGAATAGCTTAAGGTGCATTCCTCCTATTTACCTGTTTATCTATCTTTCTCTCTTTTTTTTTTTTTTTTTTTTTTTTGAGACAGGTTCTCACTCTGTCACCCAGGCTGGAACATAGTGGTGTGATCATAATTCACTGCAGCCTCAAATTTCTGGGCTCAAGTGATCCTCCTGCATCAGCCTCCCAAGTAACTGGGACTACAGGCATGTGCCACCACACTCAGCTAATTTTTAATTTTTTGCAGAGACGGAGTCTCACTATATTGCCCAGGCTGGTCTGGAACTCCTGGGCTCCAGCAATCCTCCTGCCTTGGCCACCCAAAGTTCTGGGATTACAGGTGTGAGCCACCACACCCGGCCTTATCTGTCTATCTTTCTATCTAATATATATATATAATATATATATATAATTAAACTTTTTATTTTGAGATTATAGAGTCACATGAAGCTGTAAGAAATAAGACAGAGAAATCTCCTATACCTTTTGCCTAGTTTCCCTTAATAGTATACCCTGCAAAACTATACTAAAATATGATAACCATGATATCAACATTAAAACAGTCAAGAAAGAAAACATTTATATCTCCAGAAGATCCTTCCTGTTGCCTTTTTATAACCTCCGCCTCCCAGGTTCAAATGATTCTCCTGCCTCAGCCTCCTGAGTAGCTGGGATTACTGGTGCTCGCCACCACACCCAGCTAATTTTTGTGTTTTTAGTAGAGACAGGGTTTCACCATGTTGGCCAGGCTGGTCTTGAACTCCTGACCTCATGACCCACCCGCCTCTCTTGCCCTTATGTCTTCTTTAACCTGCTTCTCTCTTGTCCTTATGTCTTCTTTAACCACTGGCAACCACTAATCTGTTCTCCATCTCTATAATTTTGTCATTTCAAGAATGTTATGTCAATGAAATCATACAGTATGTAATCTTTTGGGATTGACTTTTGTCACCCAGCATCTCTGGAGATCCATCCAGGGTGTTGACTGTAGTGATAGTTCATTATTTCTGTTGCTGAGTGATGTTCCATAATGTGGATCTAGCAAAGCTGTTTTATAACCACTTACTTATCAAAGGACATCCGGGTTGTTTCCAGTTTTTGGCTATTACAAGGAAAGCTGCTATAAACATTCATGGAAAGTTTTTGTGTGAGCAGAAATCCTAAATCATCTGGGATAAATTAGCAGGAGTGCAACTGCTGGGCCTTAGAGTAAGCGCGTATTTAGTTTTTTGGGGTTTTTTTTTTTTGAGGCAGACTCTCACTCTGTTACCCAGCCTGGAGTGCGGTGGCATGATCTTGGCTCACTCCAACCTACGCCTCCCGGGTTCAAGTGATTCTCCTGCCTCAGCCTCTCAAGTAGCTGGGACTACAGGCATGAGCCACCATGCCTGGCTAATTTTTATATTTTTAGTAGAGACGAGGTTTCACTCTGTTGTCCAGGCTGGTCTCAAACTCCTGACCTGGTGATCCGCCCACCTTGGCCTCCCAAAGTGCTGTGATTATAGGCGTGAGCCACCATGCCCAGCCATGTGTGTATTTAGTTTTTAAAGAAACTATCAAACTGCCAGAGGATCACTTGAGCTCAGGAGTTCAAGAGCAGCCTGATCAACATAGGGAGACCACGTTTCTACTAAACAACAAAATAAAAATACAAATTAGCTGGGCATAGTGACACATACCTGTAGTCCCAACTAGTCAGGAGACTGATGTGGGAGGATCATTTAAGCATGGGAGATCAAGACTGCAGTGAGCTATGATCACGTCATTGCACTCCAGCATGGGTGACAGAGCAAGACCCTGTCCCCACTACCCCCACAAAGAAAGAAACTGTTTTTTTGTTTGTTTGTTTGTTTTCCGGAGTCTCACCCTGGCTGGATTGCAACGGCAGAATCTCGGCTCACTGCAACCTCTGCCTCCCAGGTTCAAATGATTCTCCTGCCTCAGCCTCCTGAGTAGCTGGGATTACTGGTGCTCGCCACCACACCCAGCTAATTTTTGTGTTTTTAGTAGAGACGGGGTTTCACCATGTTGGTCAGGCTGGTCTCGAACTCCTGACCTCGTGATCCACCCGCCTCAGCCTCCCAAAGTGCTGGGATTACAGGCATGAGCCACCATGCCCGGCCCAGAAAGAAACTGTTAAACTGTTTTCCAGAGTGGCTGTACCATTTTTACATTCTCACCAGCGATATATCAGTGATTCGATTTCTCCATATCCTCATGAGAATTTAGTAGAGATGGGGTTTCACCATGTTGACCAGGCTGGTCTCGAACTCCTGACCTCAAGTGATCCACCCGCCTCGGCCTCCCAAAGTGCTGGGATTACAGGCGTGAGCCACCATGCCTGGCTTGTGATTAATTACTTTTATTTTTATTTATTTATTTTTTTTGAGACACAGTCTCGCTCTGTCGCCCAGGCTGGAGTGCCCTGGCGCAATCTCAGCTTACTGCAAGCTCCGCCTCCTGGGTTTACGCCATTCTCCTGCCTCGGCCTCCCGAGTAGCTGGGACTACAGGCGCCCGCCACCACACCTGGCTAATTGTTTGTACTTTTAGTAGAGACGGGGTTTCACCGTGTTAGCCAGGATGGTCTCGATCTCCTGACTTTGTGATCTGACCGCCTCGGCCTCCCAAAGTGCTGGGATTACAGGCGTGAGCCACCGCGCCCGGCCGATTAATTACTTTTAAAGAACGAAACCCAAGCCTCCTCAGTGAAGCACACTATGAAGTCCTGTCTACAAAATACAAAATTCCCTTCACAATTTTGGGATGGAACTTCTTCTTTTTATTTATTTATTTATTTATTTTTTGAGACAGAGTCTCTCTCTGTCGCCAGGCTGGAGTGCAGTGGCTCAATCTCGGCTTACCGCAACCTCTGCCTCCTGGGTTTAAGTGATTCTCCTGCTTCAGCCTCCTGAGGAGCTGGGACTACAGGCGCGAGCCACCATGCCCAGCTAATTTCTGTATTTTTAGTAAAGACGGGGTTTCACCATTTTGGCCAGGATGGTTTCGATCTTTTTACCTCGTGATCCGCCCGCCTCAGCCTCCCGAAGTGCTGGGGTTACAGATGTGAGACACCACAGCTGGCCTGGGATGGAACTTCTTAGTCAAAGTTTCATGTTCCTTTAGCACCTTCTCTGTTTGCTTAGTAATAGGGTAGACATGCAAGAAATATCTGTGTGTGGCAAGTTTAAGACCAAGGTGTGAATGTTAGCAAGACTGCCTCCCTGACTGACACAGCCATCTCTGTGTCAGGTTGCCTGGGGTCTATTACCTACTCTGTGTGTGAACTTAGCAATTTCTTTACCCCTCTAGGACTTGTCCTTAAAAAGGGGGCTGATGACCGGACAGCTACTTACCTTCTAACGTTGCTAGGAACAGAGTAAGGGACTAAGAGTTCCTAGTTGCTATTGTTGTAGTTGTTCTGACAAAGTGAAGGAAATGGCTTTCTTTCTTTCTTTCTTTCTTTTTTTTTTTTTTTTTTGAGACAGAGTTTCGCTCTTACTGCCCAGGCTGGAGTGCAGTGGCGTGTTCTCGGTTCACTGCAACCTCCACCTCCCGGGTTCAAGCAATTCCCCTGCCTCAGCCTCCGGAGTAGCTGGGATTGCAGGCGCCCGCCACCACGCCTGGCTAATTTTGTATTTTTAGTAGAGACGGGGTTTCGCCATGTTGGTCAGGCTGGTCTCGAGCTCCTGACCTCAGGTGATCCACCCGCCTTGGCCTCCCAAAGTGCTGGGATTACAGGCATGAGCCACTGCGCCCGGCAGGAAATGGCTTTCTTTAATTGGTCCCACTTTAGACAGAGGAAGAGAGAGTCACTATGTTACTCTCTTTAAATGCAAGATTTCTCTACATCAGCATTAGTAACATTCGGGGCCCCATAATTCTTTTTTTTTTTTTTTTTTTTTTTTTTTTTTTGAGACAGAATCTCGCTCTGTCGCCCAGGCTGGAGTGCACTGATGTGATCTTGGGTCACTGCAACCTCCGCCTCCCGGCTTCAAGAGATTCTCCTACCTCAGCCTCCCGAGTAGCTGGGATTACAGGCATGCACCACTACGCTCGGCTAATTTTTGTAGTTTTAGTAGAGAGGAGGTTTTGCCATGTTGGCCAGGCTGGTCTCAAACTCCTGACCTCAAGTGACCCGCCCGCCTCGGCCTCCCAAAGTGCTGGGATTACAGGCGTGAGCCACCGCGCCCGGCCTGGGGGCCCCATAATTCTTTGTAGCGGGGGGGCTATCCTGTTCATTGCAGAATGTTTAGTGGCATGGGTGGCCTCCATTTCCCACCTGCAGTGCTGCCTTCCACCCCCAGCTGTGACAATCAAAAATATCTCCAGACATTGCCAAATGTCCCCTGGGGGTAAAAACTGCCCCACTGGCCTCTAGTTATGTAAACTGTTCACATTTCTTTGAAATTAATACATGCTTGTGGGGAAAGTTTGGAAAATCGTTGTAATAGAGGTAGAGGTAAAAATACTATTTTAAACCATGGCAGCTGCTTCCCCTCAGGGAGTGGCAGAATTCCTCTCCGGAGTAAGTAGCCTTGTGTTGGGTAAAATACCTTGACTGGCTACTTCACTGGTGAAATGCAAAGGGGAGGTCCTTCCCCAGGCCTGGTGGATGGAGGCTCTGAAACACTCTGCATTACAAATGAAGAAGAATTCGTGGGCGGTGATGGAGGAAGGAGGGGAGAGGTGAGGAAAAGGAGGGGTGAGAGGGAGAGGGAGGGGGCCGGCCGCAGGGTGACGGGTGGCAGCCTGGGGCTGTGCAGATGTGGGTGGCTGAGAAGGGCACTAGGGTGGGGGTGGCTGGAGGAATTTTAAGTGCTGTGATGAAATGGGCACCCTTCTCTGCCCTCCATCGCCAAGCCCTACACCTCTGCGAAGACTGTGACACATAAAGTCCTGTGTCAACGGTTGGTAAGAAATCGGGAAAGCGCAGGGAAAAGATCAGCTGAGGGAGGCGAGGAGTCCGTGGGACTGAGGGTGGAACGGGGGACAGGAAATGAGAGCCTCAGATGGTGAAGCCCAAGCCCTCTGGAATTCATGGTGGCTTCGGGGAGGATCCTAGACTTCATTCTGGAGGTGGGAGAGGGGGTCCGAGTGAAATTTATGTCACTCTTAAAGGAGGCAATGATTTAGGCTGCCAATTCTGTACAGGAAAGAAACCCATTTACAGTATTTCCTTCCATTATTATTTTCCATGCATATTTTTAATGCAGTTAATCTTGCGTGTATGGCCATTTTTTTTTTTTTTGTCCGCTGTGTCAGTCCCCTGAGGGAGCGGGAGATATTTTCGGTCGTTGCCAATGTCACCATCTTGTGCAGTGCCAGGTAGAGACAAAGTCGCTGGAATTGCAGCCGCCTGGTACCTCTGGAGCATCTGGGTCCCTGGAGGGCAGAGCTGTCTTGAACTGCTTGCAAAGGAGTGAGGGAAAGTGTGTGTGTGTGTTGTGTGTGTGTGTGTGTGTGTGTGTGTGTGGCAGGCACATGGGAATGGGCGGGAAAGTGGATAATGTAACTTCTCCTACCTTCATTATTTTATTATTATTATTTTTATTTTTTTGAGACTTAGTTTCACTCTTATTGCCCAGGCTGGAGTACAATGGCATGCTCTTGGTTCACTGCAACCTCCGCCTCCCAGGTTCAAGTGATTCTCCTGCCTCAGCCTCCCGAGTAGCTGGGATTACAGGTGCCCACCACCATGCATGCCTAATTTTTAAAAAATATATTTTTAGTAGAGACTGGGTTTCACCATGTTGGCCAGGCTGGTTTTGAACTCCTGAACTCTGATTCATCTGCCTCGGCCTCCCAAAGTGCTGGCATTACAGGCGTGAGCCACCACGCTCGGCCATTCTCCTACTTTTATGATAATCTCCGCAAACAGGGCTCTCAACGTCTCTCAGAGATTTAGTAAACAGGCCTTTTGGTTTTTTACTCTGCCTTTTCTGCTTTAACTTAGACTAGAATCCTTGCAATTTAGGTCCAAGGGTTATCTGCAGGTAGGGGACCATGAGATTTTGCCCTAAGATGAAGCTCTCTCTTAGGATTAGTTCTCTCCCAGGGGACTCTGCCAAGTCTCCTGCAACTCATTTGCAGGGCTGCCTCCCAGGCCCTCCAGATGGATTGAATCCTAGGAAGAACACAGGGGAAATGCAGGGTTACGTTCAAGCCACAATGTTACCAGAAAGGGGTCCTTATTCAGACCCCAAGAGAGGGTTCTTTTACCTCACACAAGAAAGAATCCGGGGAGTATCCATAGAGTAATGTGAAAGCAAGCTTATTAGGAAAGTAAAGGAATAAAAGAATGGCTACTGCATTGGCAGAGCAGGGGCGTGGGCTGCTCAACTGAGTATACTTATGGTTATTTCTTAATTGTATGCTAAAAAAGGGGTGGATTATTCATGAGGTTTCCAGGAAAGGGTTAGGCAATTCCCGGAGCTGAGGGTTCCTCCCCTTTTTAGACCATATAGGATAATTTCCTGATGTTACCATGGCCTTGGTAAACTGTCATGGCGCTGGTGGGAGTGTCTTTTAGCGTGCTAATAATTTACCTTATAATTAGCATATAATGAGTAGTGAGGATGACCAGAGGTCACTTTCGTCGCCATCTTGGTTTGGGTAGGTTTTGGCCAGCTTCTTTACCGTGACCTGTTTTATCAGCAAAGTCTTTATAACCTATATCTTGTGCCGACCTCCTGTCTCATCCTGTGACTAAGAATGCCTAACTTCGGCTGGACACAGTGGCTCATGCCTGTAATCCCAGCACTTTGGGAGGCTGAGGTGGGCAGATCACCTGAGGTCAGGAGTTTGAGACCAGCCTGACCAACATGGTGAAAACCCGTCTCTACTGAAAATCCAAAATTAGCTGGGCATGGTGGTTCATGCCTGTAATCCCAGCTACTTGGGAGGCTGAGTGAGGCAGGAGAATCACTTGAACCCAGCACTTTGGGAGGGCAGGTGGATCACTTGAAGCCAGGAGTTCAAGACCAGCCTGGCCGACATGGTGAAACCCCGTCTCTACTAAAAATACAAAAATTAGCTAGGTGTGGTGGCGGGCACCTATAATCCCAGCTACTTGGGAGGCTGAGGCAGGAGAATCCCTTGAACCCGGGAGGCGGAGGTTGCAGCGAGCCGAGATCGCGTCATTGCACTCCAGCCTGGGCAACAAGAGTGAGACTCTGTCTCAAAAAAAAAAAAAAAGAAAAGAAAAAAAGAATGCCTAACCTCCTGGGAATGCAGCCCAGTAGGTCTCAGCCCCTATTCAACATGGAGTCACTCTGGTTTGAGCGCCTGTCACAATGGCAACCCTTTGTCAACCTTCTACACCACCCCCTAACTCACACAGGTCAACATAAACACCATTAGCCAGCGGAAAAGACAGTTCTTTTAAGATGAAACCCGAGAGCTGATAAGCCTGGAGGTAGTGGTGCCTCCAGGTAAAACTGTGAAGGAGGATGCCACCATCTTGTTCACACAGTAGTTCACCCACCTGCCCCCTTCTTTCCTATTCTCTCTTCATGGACACAGCTCTGCCCGTAGCTTGCCACGTTTGTTTTTCAAAAGCGTGTGTGTATAAGGGGTTTGGTTAACTGAGGACACCTGAATACGACGATAAACAGAATTCTGTCCTATTCTCCCCCACCCCCAGCCCCCATTCATAGGTTGGAGATTATAGGGGAGAAAAAATTTTCTCTACCCTCATGTTCAGCATCTCTGGGCCTACAAATTAAACTGACAGAAAACATTAACAGGAGAAAAAAGGTATATATGTGTGTATATATATATATATATATGCTCACAAAGGAGTAGCTGGTTCTTTAAATGGTTAAAGTTAGAGGCTTATACATCTAACTTAGTAGGGGAAAGGGAGGGAGAGCAAAAGCTTTTATGTGAGGAACAAATAGGTTTCTTTAGGAAAGACAAATGGGTTTTTAGGAGAGCAAATGAGAGATAAAGTTTGTGATAATGTTTGTTTATACAGGTATGAGTGATCTTTCCGTCTCCTTCAGGACCGTAAAACCCCTGGAGAAGGGATTGGGGGTGGCTTTTATTCGTGTTCTCCCTTCTGGGAGTAGATATGATCTGAAGTGGGGATTTACAGCAGCCTTATTTCCTAGAAGTTGCTGTTTTTAGTTCGATAAGGGAAGTTCTGAGAAGGCTTCTTTCTGCATCTGTGGATTCTCAGTCGCCATACCCCAATGTGGCATATTATGGGGAAGCATCTTCTGATCTCCTTCAATCTCTAACCCCCACTGTGATTGTATTTGGAGCCGGGGCCTATAAGGAGGTACTTAAGGTTAAATGAGGTCAGAAGGGTGGGGCTGTAATCTAATCGGAGTTGTATCTTTTTTTTTTTTTTTCTGAGACGGAGTCTTGCTCTGTCCCCAGGCTGGAGTGCAGTGGCGCGATCTCAGCTCACTGCAACCTCCACCTCCCGGGTTCAAGCGATTCTTCTGCCTCAGCCTCCCCAGTAGCTGGGATTACAGGCGCCCGCCACCACGCCCGGCTAACTTTTGTATTTTTTGTAGAGACGCGGTTTCACCATGTTGGTCTGGAACTCCTGACCTCAAGTGATCCGCCCACTTTGGCCTCCCAAAGGGCTGGGATTACAGGTGTGCGCCACTGCTCCCGGCCCACATTACAAAAAGGCCAACCCTGGTGAGGTACCACAATTTCTGTCCTGAGTCAAAAAAGGTAAGAGAATTTTGCAAATTACCTATGTGCGCTAAAAGATAAGAATTGCATCACGTGAAGTCTTACCATCTGCTGGCCTTTCTGCTAGAAACCACCTCGACATTGTTCAGGGTAGAGTGTTACCTGCCAGTGAGTCTGAATCTGGGACTCTACCCTTGGAACCTCCTGTTCTCCCTTCCAGTGGGCCCTGATAGAGGAGTGGGGCTCCAGGGACCCTAATCAGATGCATGCGATCATCTGGAAATGTTTAAAGTCCTAAGGACAGATAGAAGCCATATTGCTGATTGGTTCCTTATTTTGAGTTGAGCCTGCTTCATTGTTTAAGCACTCTCATTTGTTGGGATTTTCTCTTCAGCATTGTAAAAAAGCAAACTTACTCTGCCATACGAGAACAGGACCTTCTAAACTGGGCTTTGAAGTTTGCAGCTTTGTAACGAGTCAGCCATCTGAAAGCCTCTGCTTTCCAGCCGGCTCCAACCAACCCTCAGCTACTGATTAGCATATCAAAGAGTGGGCGTGTCCTGATGGGCTCCGGCAGTGGCACTGGCTCACTGGTTTGGTGGCCCATGTTTCGGACGGGAGGAGATCTAGTGCCTTTCGGCCGTGTGCCCTGATGCCGGGTGGTTACCATTTCACCTTTCATTCCATTTCTTCTCCTCTTCCAACTGTGTGCTTAAAAACACATACCACACACATACATACAAAACCCAGCCCTCGTTCTGAATGATAGAAAGGAATCAGAAATGAGGAACAAGGAAAGGAAATGAAAGGGAGGCTTTTAAAGGGGGATAAAGCCCTATCTTCCTCTCTCATCCCTCTCTAAAATCCAAACAACTCCCACAGATAAATACACTAAGTATTCAAAAGTGTCTTCGTTTTGACTAATTGAATTGCCGGGTTAGAAAAGAATCTTCAAAAAGGTTGGTGGAAGAAATTTAGAGTAAATTTTACCATTGCCCTGGGGTGCTGATCCCAAATAATCGCAACCCTTAATAGCCAAGCTGAGCTGGAGACTGCCTGATTATTTTTATCCTAACAAGAGACTCTGGCACTGCCAAGGAAATTGTCTCTCTGGGAGAGGATTGCTTCTGTGACTTGACCAGCAGCAGTAACAAGTTTTGGGGGCCCCCAGACGGGTGTGTAGAAACAGGTGACCATGAATACAGATGGGGGGAAAGGAGACAAAATGGACAGAAACCGAAGACTCCCAAGATAACACGTCATGGAAATAAACAAAAGTCTACAGAAATTAAATGAGGGATAAAAGACACAGACTCCTCTAATAAACTGATTTTGAAAGAAAATCATTTGAATTCTTTTCATGTTAAAAGTATAAACAAGGTAGACTCATATTCTTGAAAACTGAATTATATGACTTTTATTTTTAAATCCCTCATATATGTAAGGGAGAGGATAGCAATACATTAATTTCTCCTCAAAGTTCCAGTTTTTTATTGAGTTAAAAAAAATCAGAAAGGAATTTCATCAACAGTTAGATTTTTTTCCCTCTGTTTTTCTTTTTAGAGATGGAGCCTTGCTGTGTTGCCCAGGCTGGACTCAAACTTCTGGGCTTAAGCAACCCTCCTGCCTCAGCCTCCAGAGTATCTGGGACTACAGGCTGGAGTCACCATGCCCAGCTTAATTAATCAACATAATATAAATATTTGGGTAGATTATGGATCATTTTATCTTGTTTTTTATACTTTTTTGGGTGTTTTTCAAAATTTTTTTTTACAATAGGGATGTATCCATTTTATATAAAAAAAGTAGCATGCTATTAGTAAAGATCATGGATTACATTTGGAACTGGATGGGGGGATGGCTGTCTTCCCGCTGTTATATAAATTATGGACACCACAGAATTTAAGGTAGAAAGAACTTTGGATGATTATTTCTCCCTCTCATTTCAAAGGTGAGAGAACTGAGGAACCACTGAGGACCTTAGTTAAATCCAGGGTCACATCTCTAGCTGCCAAAGGATCAGAGTCTAGTGCTCAGTAGCCACCAGACACACATGGCTATGGAGCATTTGAAACGCACCTGGTCCTAACTGAGATGTGATGTAAGTGTAAAAGATACGTTGCATTTTGAAGAATCTTTTGCTCCATGTATGAGAAAATGTAAAATAACTCAGTAATTTCCATATTGATTACATGTTGAAATGATAGTATTTTGATACGCTGAGCTCAAATTAACTTAATCTGTTGCTCTTCATTCATTTTAGTGTGGCTACCAGAATATTTAAAATGACATATAGGGGCTGGGCATGGTGGCTCACACCTGTAATCCCAGCACTTTCGGAGGCTGAGGCAGGAGGATCACCTGAGGTCAGGAGTTCGAAACAAGCCTGGCCAACATGGTGAAAACCCATTTCTACTAAAAATACATGGTGGCACAGGTCAGTATTCCCAGCTACTCGGGAGGCTGAGGCGGGACAATTGCTTGAACCTGGGAAGCGGAGGTTGCACTGAGCCGAGATCGCACCATTGCACTCCAGCCTGGGCAACAAGAGCAAAACTTTGTCTCAAAAACAAAACAAAACGAGAAAACGTACAGGGCTCTCATTCTATTAGTTTGGTGCAAAAGTGTTTTTGCACCATTACTTTTCAAGGCAAAACCAGAATGACTTTTGCACCAAACTAACATTTATTTTGGACAACACTGGTGTAGAATACAGATCTGGATTCTCCGTCCAGTATTCTCTTCATATACTGCTTTGAAATGTAGAATGTCAAAAGGTAAGGAAAAATTTGCTTCCCCTTTTCTAGAATTAGGTAGTTAACCCAACTCAAAGCAACAATATCATTATTGATTTGATAATTTCTCATTTTGTTGAAGATGTGTAGTTTGTATCTGCTATAGCTAATAGAGATTTGTTTATTGCATAATCACATAGATATTCATGTCTAAGGTGTTTCCTTGCAGTTATTTTTGGATGTTAGGCATCATTACCACTAGTGATCAAGCAGTTTTCCTTGCCTCCCCCTCAGAAAAACTCAGAACAATGACAAAAACCATGGACTCTAAAATCAAACTTTGAGAAGTGCCAGAAATTACTTTTTTTTTTTTTTTTAAGATGGAGTCTCGCTCTGTCGCCCAGGCTGGAGTGCAGTGGTGCGATCTGGGCTCACTGCCACCTCCGCCTCCCGGGTTCAAGCAATTCTCCTGTCTCAGCCTCCCGAGTAGCTGGGACTACAGGTGCACGCTGCCACACCTGGCTAATTTTTTGTATTTTAGTAGAGACAGGGTTTCATCATGTTGCCCAGGCTGGTCTCGAACTCGTGAGTTCAGGCAATCCGCCCTCCTCGGCCTCCCAAAGTGCTAGGATCACAGACATGAGCCACCACGCCCGGCCACCAGAAATTACTTTTAAACAATACTGTGTAACTTTCCATGCAATTATGCAAACATTTCCTAAAGAAAGCAACTCTTCTCTTGCCAGATCTCTTCCCTTTTCACTCCCAGTCCCCTTACCCCCTTGCCGTTTAGCACAGTGGTAGCATGTGAGAACTTTTTTCTTTTTCCAAATCAGTTGACAGTGTGACTGATTTGGGAAATATTAATATAGATGTTCTTTTAAACATAACTGTATGCATTTCATCCTATTCTATAAATTATACTTCAGCTAGAAATTATTTTAGCATTTCGGGTTACATATCATTTAGGGAAGGCAGGCATTTATAGACACAGCCACAGAGAACAGATTGCTGGGTCACCCTGCCACCAAGAAGACATGTCCTGTGTCACATCCAAAGCTTCAGGCAGCTCAACATTGTGACTCTTTCTCTGACAAGCACTGTGTGTTAGGTCCATTGAGGAAGTGTTGGAGAGGGGGACAAATGAAGATGACCTTGACCACTGGGGAGCTAAAATCTGGTTAGAAAACTAGATTCATGGCCGGGCGTGGTGGCTCACGGCTGTAATCCCAGCAGTTTGGGAGGCCAAGGCGGGTGGATCATGAGGTCAGGAGTTCGAAACCAGTCTGGCCAACATAGAGAAACCCTGTCTCTACTAAAAATACACAAAAAATTAGCCAGATGTGGTGGTGTGTGCCTGTAATCCCAGCTACTCAGGAGGCTGAGGCAGGAGAATTGGGTGAACCCGGGAGGCGGAGGTTGCAGTGAGCCAAGATCGTGCCACTGCACTCCAGCCTGGGTGGCAGAATGAGACTCTGTCTCAAAAAAAGAAAAGAAAACTAGATTGAATCCCAAGCCATGTTGAAAGACTAGTGTAACTCAGCACTGAGTGATGTGGTTCTAGGTACAAGTGCTTTAGGGAAAGGAAAACTTAGAGTCCTGATCAGAGGAGTTTGAAGGATTGTAAGAATGAGCTTGGACTTGAGGCAGAGTCTGAAAAGATGGGTCAGGGTTATTATTTGAATGAAAAAGAGAAGCCAGGAGAAGACTCCAGGCAGTATGGGCAAAGGCAGAGAGGTGGAAACTGACAAATTACCTGAGCCCCCAAAGGAGGCCAATGGAAGAAAAGCATGAAAGCAAGTACCTTGTCTCTCTCTCTCTCTTTTTTTTTTTGAGACAAAGTTTTGCTCTTGTTGCCCAGGCTGGAGTGCAGTGGCGTGATCTTGGCTCACTGCAACCTCTGCCTCCTGGGTTCAAGCGATTCTCTTGCCTCAGCCTCTCAAGTAGCTGGGATTACAGGTGCCCACCACCATGCCCGACTAATTTTGTTTTTTGTATTTTTAGTAGAGACAGGGTTTCGCCATGTTGGCCAGGCTTGTCTTGAACTCCTGACCTCAGGTGATCCGACCTCCTTGGCCTCCCAAAGTGCTGGGATTACAGGTGTGAGCCACTTTGCCCGTCCTGTCTCTCTTATTTATTGCCATACTCCCTGTGCCTAGAACAGTGCCTGGTTCATCGGAGGTATCTGCTATTGGTTTTGTAAATGCATGGATATACTGCTACCTTTTAACAAGTACAGGAGGCACATAGAAAGGATTGTCTCAGGGCTGTTCTTTTTGGAGCAAAGGGAGACCGGGTGTGCTGCTGGAGTCCCAGCGATCAGCTCTGGGACACTAGGTGACAGATGCCAAGCACTTCTGGAGTTGGTGGCACACTGTGTCCAGAGTTGTTAGCCTGAGCTTTGAGTTGGTTTGGTGTTTTAGTCTATTTATGCTACTATTCAAAATACCAAGATTAGGTAATTTGTAAACAATAGAAATGTATTTCTTTCAGTTCTAGAGGCTGGGAAGTCCAAGACTGAGGCACCAACACTTGGTGTCTGGTGAGGGCTGGTCTCTGCCTTCAAGGTGGCCCCTTGTTGCTGCATCCTCCAAAGGAAATGGATGCTGTTCCCATCAGCCCTTTCAGAGAGTTGCTAATCCCATTCATGAAGGCAGAGAGGGAATATTCCACACAGTATTCCATCGTATGGAATCACCTCCTAAAAGCCCCACCTCTTAATATTGTGCATTGCGGATTTAAGTTTCAACATAAATTTTGGAGGGGACACAAACATTCAAACCATAGTGGGTGGTGATCTGGCCTGATTCAAAGGGTTGAAAAGGGAGGAGAGAGGCAAAGAAAATGAATTGAGATCTTATCCTCCCTTTCTACCCATATCAATAGGCTTTGGATGCTAGAAGTCTCTTTAATGTTTGTGATAATTCACAAGCCATTCAGAAGGAGAAGGAAAAGAATGTTACACTTACCGAGCATCTACTGTGTGTCAGGCATTTGCACTTGATATCATTTAATTCTCACAGAGATTAAATAAGGTAGCCATTTAAAAAATTGTAGTAAGAAGCAACATGAAATTTACCATCTTAACCATTTCTTTTTCTTTTTTTTTCTTTTCTTTTTTTTTTTGAGACAGAGTCTCACTCTGTCACCCAGGCTGGAGTGCAGTGGGACCATGTTGGCTCACTGCAACCTCCATCTCCTGGGTTCAAGCAATTCTCTGGCCTCAGCCTCCTGAGTAGCTGGGATTACAGGCACCCACTACCACGCCCGGCTAATTTTTAAAATATTTTTATTAGAGATGGGGTTTCACCATGTTGGCCAGGCTGGTCTCAAACTCCTGACCTCAGATGAGCCACCCACCTTGGCCTCCCAAAGTGCTGGGATTACAGGCATGAGCCACCACGCCTGCCTACTCATCTTAACCATTTCTAACGGTACAGTTCAGTAGTATTAAGTATATTCACATTATTGTGAAATAGATCTATGGAACTTTTTCATCTTCCCGAAATGAAACTCTTTTTGTTTTTTTTAACTTGTATTTTAGGTTCGGGGATACATAGGCAGTTTGTTATGGAGGTAAACTCACGTCATGGGTGTTTGTTGTACAGATTATTCATCATCCAGGTACTAGTCCCAATAGTTTTTTTAAAATTTTTTTCTGCTCCTCTCCCTCCTCTCACTCACCACCCTCAAGTAGACTCTAGTTTCTGTTGTGCCCTTCTTTGCATTCATGAGTTTTCATCATTTAGCTCCCACTTATAAATGAGAACATGTGATATTTGGTTTTCTGTTCCTGTATTAGTTTGCTAAGAATAATAGCTTCCAACTCTATCCATGTTCCTGCAAAAGACATGATCTTGTTCTTTTCTATGGCTGCACTCTTCCATAGAACAACAACCCAGGCTCCTCCCCCAGTTCCTGACAGCCACCATTCTACTTTCTCTCTATATAAATTTGACTACCCTAGGGACCTCACGTAAGTGAAATCATACAGTATTTGTCCTCAAAGTTTATTCATGTTGTAGCGTGTGACAGGGTTTCCTTCCTTTATTAAGGCAGAATAATATTTGATGGTATGGATATAGTGTGTTTTGTTGATCTATTCACCACCGATGGACACTTGGGTTGTTTCCACCTTTTGGCTGTTAGTGCTGCTGTTACGAACATAAATGGGTATGTAAGGACCTCTTCGAGACCCTACTTTCAATTCTTCTTTTTTTTTTTTTTTTTTTTTTTTTGATACAGAGTCTCACTCTGTCTCCCAGGCTGGAGTGCAATGGTGCGATCTCAGCTCACTGCAACCTCCGCCTCCCGGATTCAAGTGATCATCCTGCCTCAGCCTCCCAAGTAGCTGGGATTACAGGTGCCCGGCACCACACCTGGCTAATTTTTGTATTTTTTAGTAGAAATGAGGTTTCACCATGTTGGCCAGGCTGGTCTTGAACTCCTGACCTTGTGATCTGCCCGCCTTGGCCTCCCAAAGTGCTGGGATTACAGGTGTGAGCCACCACGCCCGGCCTCAATTCCTTTTTTTTTTTTTTTTGAGATGGGGTCTCACTGTGTCGCCCAGGCTGGAGTGCAGTGGCACGATCTCGGCTCACTACAAGCTCCACCTCCCGGGTTCACACCATTCTCCTGCCTCAGCTTCCCGAGTAGCTGGGACTACAGGCGCCCACCACCACGCCCGGCTAATTTTTTTTGTATTTTTAGTAGAGACAGGGTTTCACCGTGTTAGCCAGAATGGTCTCGATCTCCTGACCTCATGATCCTCCCGCCCCGGCCTCCCAAAGTGCTGGGATTACAAGCATGAGCCACCGTGCCTGGCCAATTCTTTTGGATATATAACCAGAAGTGGAATTGGTGGAGTAGGCAGGCATTTCTATCTCCACTTTATGAATGAAGAAACAGTGGTCCAGGGAACTCCTGTAACATGCCCACGGTCTGCAGAAGGCTGCAGAGTGAAGGCTCACCCTTGACTCTGGTCTTTGCCCATTTCCACCCCATTCTGAGGTCACAGCCTTAGCTGCATCATTTAAGGGTACACCTAGGTTTAACTTGGAAAATTGGGGATTACATTTATGCATACTTGTGGCAGCAGCTGATTTTGCAGTTTACATAATTGGAAATGGGAGAAGGTTTAGAATTCTGTTTTGTCCCAGGCTCAAGTTGCATTAAGTGGTTGACAACCATAAATTGGCTGAATTCTTTTCTGGACACCAGATTCCAACATTGTTCTGCATGTTGTTTTAGTTTTGTGTTAATTAAGTGTTAACAGAAGTCTGGGGTGTATTGTTTTGGAATTAGCTGACCAAGGACCCATTTATAGTTTTTTAACTTTGGGCACGTCAGTATTCAAAAGCAATTTTATTTTTTTTCAAAAGCAATTTTAACCTGAACTGTTCAACTGTTCTGTTTAACTATGAAGTTCTAATTTATGCCAATTATCACATTGCCAAATAGTTTTATAGTCATATTAAAATTTCAAGTGGAATTTGCTGAGTCTAATTTTGTAGTGGCTCTGAGATTAAGATGTGTGAGGAGAAAAAAGTGATTTTATTTGTTTCCTTTCTAACCCTAATTGTTCTGTACTGTCCCTGGGTTTCTGTTTGGTTTGTGTGGTGTTCATGGGGGAGGAAGCTGTGTGTGAAAGGAGAAGTCACGAGGAAGAGAAAGGAGGACGGGTAGGGCAGGTAAAAAAGGTCTGTAGAATGATCTTATATCCGACAGGATTGTTGAGACCATTTCAGCCCTTTGTTTTTTCTTTTTTTTTAAATTAATTAATTTTTTTTTAAACACTTTGTCGCCCAGGCTGGAGTGCAGTGGTGCGATCTTGGCTCACTGCAACGTCTACCTCCTGGGTTCAAGCAATTCTCCTGCCTCAACCTCCCAAGTAGCTGGGATTACAGGTGCCCGCCACCACAACCAGCACCCAGCTAGGTTTTTTTTGTTGTTGTTGAGATGGAGTCTTGCTCTGTTGCCCAGGCTGGAGTGTGGTGGCACGATCTTGGCTCACTGCAACCTCAACCTCCGCCTCCTGGGTTCAAGTGATTCTCCTGCATCAGCCTCCCAATTTAGCTGGTACGCACCACTATGCCCAGCTAACTTTTTGTATTTTTAGTAGAGATGGGGTTTCACCATGATGGCCAAGCTGGTTTCAAACTCCTGACCTCAAGTGATCCACCCGCCTCAGCCTCCCAAAGTGCTAGGATTATAGGCATAAGCCACTGCGCCCAGACTAATTTTTGTATTTTTATTACAGGCGGGGTTTCACCATGTTGGCCAGGCTGGTCTAGAACTCCTGATCTCAAGAGATCCACCCACCTCGGCCTCCCAAAGTGCTGGGATTACCTGCATGAGCCACTGCACCTGGCTTCAGCCCTTTGTTTTATCCAAGAGAAGGTCAAGAGCAGATAAATTGGGTATGTCATCCTGCCACGTGGATGAGCATGGTGGAATGCTGCTGGAATCCCTGAAGGTCCACTAACCCTCAGTCCAGGGGTCTCTGGATTTCCATATATCTGTTCGCATCTGCTCAGAAGTCATGTTAGGGCTCTTACAGGAAATGAAAGGCGTATACCAACTGGGTCATTTGAGGAGAGTTTATGAAGTTGGGGCAGGACAGGGTGTTGGAAGCCCTATGGAGAGCGCGGTGTGCCAGGGTAGATAGCGGTGGGCAGAGTTACCATTCTGAGGGTGGACAGAGTGAGGAAAGAGAAAGACACTGGAGCCTGGAGAGAGCTAGATGGCTCTAGAGGGAGGACTGCCTGACAAGAGCCATGGACCCCAGTTGAGAGGCTCAGCCAGCTCACAATGACTAAGTAGAACCAACACCCTGAGCTGACTGTCCTCTCTCCCTCTATCACCTGCTGGAGCTCCCTATTTGCCAAACCCAATCAGAAGCCAGGGACAAGAGAGCTGTTTGATGTCATCCTTACAGATCAGCCTTTTGTGTAGAGAAGGGTGATCTAGAAGGATGAAAGGGATGCCCAGCACAAAGGTTTAGAAATGCAGTTCAGGCTGGGCATGGTGACTTGCACCTGTAATCCCAGCACCTTGGGAGGCTGAGGTGGGCAGATTACTTGAGGTCAGGAGTTCAAGACCATCCTGGCCAACATGGTGAAACCCTGTCCCTACTAAAAATGCAAAAATTAGCTGGGTGTGGTGGCAGGCATCTGTAATCCCAGCTACTTGGAGGCGGAGGTTCAGGAGGATCCTTTGAACCCAGGAGGCAGAGGTTGCAGTGAGCCAAGATAGTGCCACCGCACTCCAGCCTGGGTGACAGAGCAAGACCCCATCTCAAAAAAAAAAAAGACAATTCAAACCTCCTAAACAAAAAAATTTAGCTGTGTAGCCTTCCATGGTTCCCCAGGCCCTGACTGAGTTTCCGTGGTATTTGCTTAGCAATTACTTTGTTTTTGTAGGAGCAGGCCCCTGAATTTTGATCTTTCTGCACTCAGCTCTGAACTGGTCATTGTCTCTTTCAGTGATTTCATGATCTGGTTGACTCTGGTGATTAGGTGGTGGCCTATGTCAATTATCACTGCGTATGTCTGGGCAGACAGAATAGCCCATATTGCAATCTGGCCATTTTCCCCATGCAATTATAGGCCTTAATTTTAATGAAACTGTTTGGGGTTTATTCTAATCAGCAAAATGAAATGTGGTGGTTACTGTAGAATTTCCTTTTGGTTGGGCAGTGAAACCATACATGATCCTTTGGCTGCCCTTGGCTTTCATCTGAAGTCATGGGAGAATGTGGTTTCACATGGAAAACTGTGCCTCCCTGGTATTCTGCTATGAATGGAATATAGCTCTTACACGCATGACCATTATTTAATCGCAGGTGCAGAATATCTTGAGCATATCACAGCTGACTTATGTCTTCCTTTCCCCATCAGTCACAAAATCCAGGAAATTGAGAGTTATCCTGTTGTGAAGAAGGCCTGGATTGGCAACATGGCTTCATCCATAGAGACATGCATATCCTTGGAGGGGGATACAGGGACTTAGTTTTGTGGTCTGAGAACATTCTTGGCCTGCTGATAAGTCATTTCTGAAATTTGTTGTGCAAGAGGAGTGGACTTTTAGTATCGAATAATAGTCTTTACATCAATTTCATGAACTTACGTAGTAGGTAAATTATATGCTTAGTCAGTAATCCATAGACCCAGTACATTGGATTTTAAGACAGTCTACCTTACTTTACCTTCAACCACTTCTGTGATTTTATAGCATTGTATTGGGGCTAAATGGAAGTGAATGGACAAATGCTGTGAATTTCTTTCTTAAGATTGCCTGGGTTGAATCCAGGCTCTCCACTGGCTATTGGACCTCAGACAAGCTACTCAATTCTCAATTCTCTTATATGTAAGTCTCAACACTCTCTCTTTTTTGAGACAGGGTCTCACTCTGTTGCCCAGGCTGGAATGCAGAGGCACCATCACAGCTCACTGTACCCTCAAACTCCTGGGCTCAAACAACCCTCCTGTCTCAGCCTCCTGAGTAGTTGAGACAACAGGCAGGCATCACCACACTTGGCTAATCTTTTTTTGATTTTTTTTTTTTTTTAGTAGAGACGAGGTCTTGCTATGTTGCCCAGGCTGGTCTCAAACGCCTGGCCTCAAGTTATCCTCCCACCATGGCCTCCCAGAGTATTGGGATTACAGGCATAAGCCACCATGCCTGGCCTCAATATTCTTACATGTAAGATGAAGGGAAGGTGTCTCGGTTATAATTAGGTTAAACAACATAGAACAAAACATCCCAAAGAATAGTGGCTTAGTCACATAAGTTAATTTTTTTCTTGTATGAAATAATTCTGGTGGTAGACAGCCAGGGGCTGGGTTGGCAGCTCCTTGATTGTACCAGAGGCCCAGGTTTCTTTTATCTTCATCCTCTGCTACCTTTAGTTTGTAATCTTCATCCACAAATTACAAGATGACAGTTGGAGCTCAAACCATCTCATCCATACTCCAGGCAGCAGAAAAATTGGAATGGACAAAGAGGGCATGCATGCCATCAATCTGTCTCTCTTCTCTTCTGGAGGTGTCACTCAACAACTTCTGTTTCCATCCTGTTGGCCACTGCTAATCACCAGGTGAACTGGTCAATTAGTGCTTTAGGGCTGGGCCCAGTGGCTCACGCCTGTAATCCCAGCACTTTGGGAGGCCGAGGCAGGTGGATCACCTGAGGTCAGGAGTTCGAGACCAGCCTGACCAACATGATGAAACCCCATCTCTACTAAAAATACAAAAATTAGCCAGGTGTGGTGGTGTGTACCTGGGATGTATCCCAGCTACTCGGGAGGCTGAGGCAGGAGAATTGCTTGAGCCGGGGAGGCAGAGGTTGCAGTGAGCTGAGATTGCACCATTGCACTCCAGCCTGGGCAACAAGAGCGAAATTCCATCTCAAAATAAACAAATAGATAAAAGATAAATAAATAAATTAGTGCTTCAGTTAGGAGCCTTGAAGTTTCACATAAAATAGGGACTCTCTTCTAAGGAATAAGGAAAGAATGGATCTCTGGCAGACAACTTTTGGATTCTGCACAGGGGATGGAGACAGACTTTTGTGAGGTTGAGATGATAAATTCCCATCAAAGTGTCTAGCAAAATGGCTGGCACTAGGAAAGCACTCATCGCACACAATACATAATTATTATCTATTTATAAAGCAACGAGACTTTCAAAAACATAGCCAAATTAAACAGAACAACATTTATATGGTTTTACCTTCAAAAGTAATCACCTTGAAAGGCAACAACATATCATTTCCTTTGCACTTGATCTTAGTCAAAAGGCCGAGAAGCAATATATCATTTCCTTTAATTTAACATGACTACCTTGAGAACCAGTTTATTATTTACATAAGAACATCAGCTTTGTTGGTTTGTTTCCACTATTAGCTTCATCATCTGTTGTATTCAATAAAATTAACCTTGAATGACACTCAAGGATGATGAGACTTGACCCTTGGGAATATGTTTAAAAATGTTCACAGTTCTTAGGGAATTCTGGTTCAGTTATCTCCTATTTCTAGAAGTCAGACTTCCATACTTTCCATGCTAATGGGAGATATTTGCATAAACATAACAGAGGAAAGTATATGTAAAACATGTATGTAGCCAGGCACAGTGGCTCAGACCTGTAGTCCCGGCACTCTGGGAGGCTGAGGCAGGAGGATCACTTGAGCGCAGGAATTCGAGACCAGCTGGGCAACATAGTGAGAATTCATCTTTACAAAAAAAAAAATAATAATTAGCCAGGCTTGGTGGTGCACACCTGTGATCCCAGCTACTTGGGAAGCTGAAGTGGGAGGATCGCTTGAGCATAGCGGGTTGAGGCTGCAGTGAGCTATGATCTCACTGCTACACTCCAGCCTGGGCGACAGGGCAAGACTCTATGTTGAAAAAAAAAAAAGTGTAAAAAAAACAGTTTGCCCTAGCCATGAAGATTAGTACATTTGAAAGTACTTACTATCCTTATTAACCTTTGTTCAGATATTCATGGTAATATAGGCTTACAGATGAGATTGAATAGTGATTCACTAGAATTATACAGATACAGGTTGAGCATCTCTAATCTGAAAATCCAAAATCTGAAATGCTCCAAAATCTAAAACTTTTGTGCGCCAACATGATGCCACATGTGGAAAATTCCACATATTAATTGCTTAATGTAAATTTTGTTTTATGCACAAAATTATTAAAAATATTGTATTAAATTACCTTCAGGCTGTGTGTATAAGGTGTATATGAAACATAAATAAATTTTGTGTTTAGACTTGGGTTCTATTCCCAAGATATCTCATTATGTATATATTATGTGTATATATTATATAATTATATAATTTATATAAATAATATATATAATTGTATATATTTATATATTATATAATTTATATAAATAATATATAATATATACACATAATATATACATAATATATAAAAAATAGTATTATGTAGATATTATGTATATAATATGTATATATTATGTATATATAAATACCCCAAAATCTGAAAAAATTCAAAATCCGAAATACTTCTGGTCCCAAGCATTTTGGATAAGAGATACTCAACCTGTATTCCCATTTCTTATTGAAATTAGTTGAAAGTTTGTATAAGAAAACTTCAGCTTTTGTTTGTTTTTAACTTGTGGGTAGGACTGGTAAATATTTCCATACGACTAAAGCTTTACAAACACACAAGACTTATTTACATACTAAATCATGCAATTATTTTCATAAGATAAGTCCATTATATACATTCCATTTAAGACTAAAAACATGTGATGTGAGTTCTGGTTATTTACTGGTCAACTTGAGGGGATATGGTATGTTACAAAGTCTACCCTGTTATACTGTTGACCCTGACATCATTACATGTAAGATGTAGAGGTAATCTCATCTATCAAGTTGTTTATTTTACAGATGAGGAAACTGAGATGCTGAATTTCAATGTCTTGCCTGAGATCTCACAGCTAACATATGGCAGAGCAGGTATCAGCATGCAGCCCACCTGGGTCCTAATATCATGCCTGTTTGACACCCAATTCCCTCCCATTCTCTCAGGGTTGACATTGCTCTGTCAAGTTTTCCCCATTGGAGCAGGGAAGGTGAACACCGAATCTGAGGATTGGAAATCTTTGCCTCTTACATGTTGTGAGACAATGACCACTCTTTGTCGGTCAATATCCACTCTTCCTTTCCTTATACAACTCCTAAATTTTTGCCGGGTATTTGGCTATACAACCAGACTACATTTTTGGTCTTGTTTGTGGCCAAGTGACTGTTCTGACCAATGGGATGTGAGTGAAGGTGGGTGGATACAACTTCTGTGAGCCACACATTAAGGATGGTAGAGCTACCCCGCCAGCTTTGGACAGTGCACCTCTGGACTATTATATGAGAGAGTATTTAAGTGTTTAAGTCCCTGTGTTTCGGGGTCCCCTTATTACAGCAACTGTGACTGTACCCTAACTAATACACTTGGTATCAATCAATTAGTGCAACTGTGACTGTACCCTAACTAATACACTTGGTATCAATCAATTAGTTCTGTATCGTAGCAGGAAGTAGACTTTCTCCTCTTAAGGCCTAAGGTGCAATTCACAAAGATGGATTTCGCTCAGGCTCAGATTTTAAACTTTGATATTTTTAAAATTAAAAAAAAAATTTAGCCGTGTGCAGTGGCTCACGCCTGTAATCCCAGCACTTTGGGAGGCTGAGGCGGGCAGATCACCTGAGGTCAGGAGTTCGAGACCAGACTGGCCAACATGGTGAAACCCCTCTCTACTAAAAATACAAAAATTAGCCGGGCCTGGTGGCACATGCCTGTAATCCCAGCTACTCAGGAGGCTGAAGCAGGAGAATCAGTTGAATCCGGGAGGCGGAGGTTGCAGTGAGCTGAGATCGCACCATTGCACTCCAGCCTGGGCAACAAGAGCGAAACTCTGCCACACACATAAAAAATAATAAATTATTTTTTAGAGATGGGGTCTTGCTCTGTTGCCCAGGCTGGACTTAAACTCCTAAATTCAGGCAATCCTCCTGCCTCAGTATCCTGAGTTACTGAGACAACAGGTACACACCACTGTACCTAGATTTTAAATGTATACCCTTGTTTTAAGTCAGTGTAAGGACATGCTTGTATGAGGCAAAGTAGTTTACTAGAAAGAATGTTGCCAGGCACGGTGACACACGCCTGTAATCCCAACACTTCGGGAGACAGAGGCAGGAGAATTGCCTGAGCCCAGGGTTTCAAGACCATCCTGGGCAACATAGTGAGACCTTGTTTCTACAAAAAATTTAAAAAGTAGTGGGGCATGGTGGTGCATGGTGGTGCATGCCTGTGGTCCCAGCTATTTGAGAGGCTGAGGTGGGAGGATTGCTTGAGCCTCGGAGGTTAAGGCTGCAGTGAGCTATGATAGCACCACTGCCCTCCAGCCTGGGTGACAGAACAAAAAAAAAAGAAAAAAAATGTTGACCCAGGGAGTTTGGTCAAGGGTTTCTAGCATTAGTTTGCTACTAACTTCCAGAGCACCTTCATTGGGTGTCTGCTTCCTTAGTTATAAAATGGTGATTATATTGTTCATTTATCTCCCAGGGTATTATGCATAATACTTCATAAAAAATGGTTGTAAAGCATTTGGCAAATGCAAGCTTTCTGCCTATTATGCTGAACTAATCCGGTAGCTTTCTTGGCACCCACAGTCTCTAACGATTTATAGATGGGCCTTTTTACTGAAGGGGGCTTGACTTTGGCATGATCTGCCTGAGCTGCTGGACTCTCCGTTGACTGTTAGAATTCAGTGGATATGTTATACTTTCCCTGGGACCCTCCTTAGCACCATGATGAAGAAGGCATCTCAGCATTGGAGAGGAGGGCCGGAGGCCCCTATTGACAATTCTCTTCTCCAGAGCTGGTGTTTGCATCAATGTATTGGTGATTTCTTGAGCCTAAAAATGTTAAATAAACAAGTCTTGCTTCTGAAACCCTTCTCATGTGATCAACATCATGTTTGCAAAAAACAACACCAAGTTAGAATCATGCTTTATGCATTTAAAAAAAAAAGCAACCTTGTGACTGGTATAATTCTCATGTTACATCTGTGCCACATACATATAATAGCTCATTGTGGTGGCTGAACAGGACTCCCGATATTTTGCCTTGGAGACCATTACTTAAGCAGGTGACTCTTGAGCTTTCTATTTCAGCACTTTGAGAAGTTTGCCAGAAGGTGCTTGCTTGTGCCAGGCAGTCCTTAACATTTCCCCCGGGGCAGCCTCCACGTTTTAGTTACATTACTTTTGACCACTAATCTTTCTTTTACCCTGAGCATCTCTGTAAGAGGCAGATTTGGAACACTTCCCTGACTAGACCCATTCTTCTAAGGAGCATAAATCTGTTAGAGTGTAGTAACTATGTGAGAACGCAGTCCAAGTACATTTTTCAAGAAAAGTATAAAAAACGTTATCAGGACAATGAGAGAACAGGATTATCATGCTAATAGTTCCATGTGGAAATGATTGGTTGGTATCAAAACTCCATTTACCAGAGTTCTTGTAATGTTGGCATTCAAGTGGAATGGGTTTGGATGCAATTACAAGGTAGTTATCTTCCAATGTGATACACAGTTGAACCTTGAACAACACAGGTTTGAACTGCGCATGTCCACTTATACATGGATTTGTTTTTAATAAAAGTTACCCTGCCTCTCCTGCCTCCCCTCCCACCTCCTCTATCTCTTCTGCCTCTGTCGCCCTGAGACATCAAGACCAACCCTTCCGGGCCGGGCGGGGAGGGCTCACGCCTGTAATCCCAGCACTTTGGGAGGCTGAGGCGGGACGATCACCAGGTCAGGAGATCGGGACCATCCTGGCTAACACGGTGAAACCCCGTCTCTACTAAAAATACAAAAAAAATTAGCCGGGCCTGGTGGTGGGTGCCTGTAGTCCCAGCTACTCAGGAGGCTGAGGCAGGAGAATGGCATGAACCTGGGAGGTGGAGCTTGCAGTGAGCCGAGATTGTGCCACTGCACTCCAGCCTGGGCAACAGAGCAAGACTCCATCTCAAAGAAAAAAAACAGAAACAAAAACAAAAAGACCACCCCTTCCTCTTCTCTTCCTCCTCTGCCTACTCAACATGAAGATGAGGAGGATGAAGACGTTTATGATGATCCACTTCCGCTTAATCAATAGCAAATATATTTTCTCTTCCTCATGATTTTCTTAATAACATTTTCTTTTCTGTAACTTACTTTATTGTACGAATACAGTGTATAATGCATACAACATTCAAAAATATATGTTAATCGACTGTTTATGTTATTGGTAGGTAAGGCTTCCAGTCAACAGTAGGCTATTAGTAGTTAAGTTTTTGGGGAGTCAAAAGTTATGCATGGGCTGGGTGCAGTGGCTCACGCCTGTAATCCCAGCACTTTGGGAGGCTGAGATGGATGGATCACGAGGTCAGGAGTTTGAGACCAGCCTGGCCATTATGGTGAAACCCCATCTGTACTAAAAATACAAAAATTAGCCAGACACAGTGGCGGGGGCATGTAATCCCAGCTACTTGGGAGGCTGAGGCAGGAGAATCACTTGAACTCGGGAGGCGGAGGTTGCAGTGAGATGAGATCTCGACACTGCACTCCAGCCTGGAGGACAAGAGTGAGACTCCGTCCAAAAAAAAAAAAAAAATGTTATGCATGGGGCTGGGTGTCATGGCTTACACCTAGAATCCCAGCGCACTGGGAAGTTGAGGTGGGCAGATTACTTGAGCTCAGGAGTTCGAGACCAGCCTGGAGAACATGGTTAAACTCCATCTCTACAAAAACATACAAAAATTAGCGGGGCCTTGTGGCATGCGCATGTAGTCTCAGCTACTCAGGAGGCTGAGGTGGGAGGATGGCTTGAGCCCGGGAGGCATAGGCTGCAGTGAGCCAAGATCATGCCACTGCACTCCAGCCTGGGCAATAGAGCCAGATCCTATCTTAAAGAAAAAAAGCTCTCCAAAACAAAGTCAGACATGGATTTTTGAATGTGTGTGGGGACAGTGCCCCTAACCTCTGTGTTGTTTTAGGGTCAGCTTTACTGTAGTCATTTCTGCATCACCAGTTTTAGCTGTTCTTTGAAATGGAGGAAGGAAGGAAGAAAGATAGGGAGGGAGGGAGAAAGAAAAGGAGATAATGATGTGGAATAGGAGATGGGGAAGCGGGAAGGGCCTGGAGCCCACACCTGCCGTATGCTATGAATATGGTACCATTGAGTTCCCATGAATCCTATGTCATTTCATCCCCCAACATCCCTGTGTGGTTGGTATTATCCCAAATGTACAGAGGAGGAAGTCATGAGTTAGAGAGGCTGAGTAGCATTCAGTTAGGAAGTGTTGGAGAGAAAATCTGAATCCGCATTTACCCGACTCCAAAGTCCTTACTCCTGTCATGAGGCCATCTCATCTTTTTGGTATGGAATGTACCAGAGGAAGGAAAAGCATTCAGGTATGTTGCCCAGGCAGGTCTCAAACTCCTGGGCTCAAGTGATCCTCCCGCCTTGGCCTCCCAAAGTGCTGGGATTCCAGGTGTGTGCTACCATGTCTGACCCTCAGCCAGTTTAATCAGATTCCTCTGAAGGAGCGTTGCTTGGAACATAATCAACTTAAACAGGAAAAGAAGACAGAATGAGGAGCTACCTTGCAGCATCCCCATGGCTAGGAACTGCAGACAGCCACGAGGAGCTGACAGCCATTCCTGCCAACCCTCGAGGGAAAAAGGGGCCCTCAGTCCTACACTCACAAGGAAATGAATTCTGCCAACCTCAGCTTGGAAGAGTATCCCAGCCCCAGCTGAGAAGGCAGCCCCAGCTGACACCGTGGCTTCAGCCAGTGAGACCCTGAACACAGAATCTAGTTACTCTGTGCCCGGATTTCTGACCTATGGAAACAATAAGATCATAAATGGGTATCGTTTCAGCCAGGCGCGGTGGCTCACACCTATAATCCCAGCACTTTGGGAGGCCAAGGCGGGCAGATCACTTGAGCTCAGGAGTTCGAGACAAGCCTGGGCAACATGGCGAAACCCTGTCTCTGCAAAACTTAGCCTGGCGTGGGCCGGGCGCAGTGGCTCACGCCTGTAATCCCAGCACTTTGGGAGGCTGAGGCTGGCGGATCACAAGGTCAGGAGATTGAGACCATCCTGGATAACATGGTGAAAACCCGTCTGTACTAAAAATACAAAAAAAAAATTAGCCGGGCATGGTGGTGGGCACCTGTAGTCCCAGCTACTCGGGAGGCTGAGGCAGGAGAATGGCGTGAACCCGGGTGGTGGAGATTGCAGCGAGCCGAGATCGTGCCACTGCACTCCAGCCTGGGCGACACAGTGAGATTCTGTCTCAAAAAAAAAAAAAAAAAAAAAAAAAAAAAAAAAAAAAAAATTAGCCTGGCGTGGTGGCACATACCTGTAGTCTCAGCTACTTGGGATGCTGAGGTCGGAGGATTGCTTGAGCCCAGGAGGCGGAGGTTGTAGTGAGCCAAGATCGTGCCACTGCACTTTTAGTCTGGGCGACAGAGCGAGACCCTGTCTCAAACAAATAAATAAAAATAAATAAATAAATAAATACCTATTGGTTTTTTTTTTTTTTTTTGAGACGGAGTCTCGCTCTGTCGCCCAGGCTGGAATGCAGTGGCACTATCTTGGCTCACTGCAAGCTCTGCCTCCCGGATTCACGCCATTCTCCTGCCTCAGCCTCCGGAGTAGCTGGTACTACAGTTGCCCGCCAACATGCCCGGCTAATTTTTTTGTATTTTTAGTAGAGACGGGGTTTCACCGTGTTAGCCAGGATGGTCTCGATCTCCTGGCCTCGTGATCTGCTCGCCTCGGCCTCCCAAAGTGCTGGGATTACAGGCATGAGCCACTGCACCCGACCATAAATAGCTATTGTTTTAAGCCACAGAGTGTGTGGTGATTTGTTACACAGAAATAGAAAACAAACACATAGATATCCCATTTCCCTGGTTCCCTCCACAAGCCTATGAAGAAGGTAAAGCAAGTATTTTTTAGTCTCTATTGGATTTGGAGGAAATTGATGCACAAAGAAAATATACATCTAGCTCAAGTTTATTTAGCTAATCAATCATTGAGCTGGGAGGAGTTTGGTTCCTTTGACACTTCCAGAAATGCTTGTACATCCTAATGGTGTGCTTATGCTGTTTTTGTTAGCAGAGCAATGCCTTTGAGCATGTTTGGATCCAGTGGAAGAGTTGGTGATAAGGGGCAAATGACGCAGTGGGGGAGAACTCAGGAGAGGGGAAGGTGATGGGGGCTCCATCTACCTTCACATTATTCCTAGCTAATGCCCCTCTGCATCCCCCTTTAGATCTGTGCCCGCAGAGAGAGCCTGCTCCAGCCTCTTTGCTACAGCCTTGAGTCTTCTGCTGTAAGTTTTCATTCTTTACCTTTTTTTTTTTTAATGAAAAACTTATGGTTAATTATTGTATTGCATTTGGGTTTGTGTGTGCATGCATATGAATGTGTATCATGTTCTCCAGGGGTTTCCTGGAAAACCCTTTAAAGCCTCTGTCTATCTCAGACAGGACAAGAGGAAGAGGAGGGCTCGGACGCTGTGGCACAGAGGGCTGGTTTCCTCCCAATGTACATTTCCCTTGCTTCCATGTCATACAAGTGTTTATCTGTGCTCGTGGCTGCCCTGAATAAGAACTGTATTTCCAGCTTTGTGGAAGCCAGGTGTGGTCATGTGACTAAGTTGTAGCCAATAGCCTGTGGGGAGTAGTGAGGTGTGCAACAACTGGCCAGAGCTGTTAAAGGGAAACGCTGTGTTCTTCCTTCTGTGTTCCCCCTTCCTTGGCTGGAATTGCCTGTGGCAGTGCTCTACTTTTCCTTTTTCTTTTCCTTTTGGTTTTTGTCTCACTCTGTTGCCCAGGCTAGGGTGCAGTGGTGCAATCTCAGTTCACTGCAACCTCTGCCTCCTGGGCTCAAGCCATCTTTCCATCTCAGCCTCCAGAGTGGCTGGAACTACAGCTGCATGCCACCATGCCAAGCTAATTATTTATTTAAATTTTAAAATATTTATTTATTTTGAGATGGAGTCTCACTCTGTTGCCCAGGCTGGAGTGCAGTGGCACGATCTTGGCTCACTGCAACCTCTGCCTCCTGGGTTCAAGCGATTCTTCTGCCTCAGCCTCCTGAGTAGCTGGGATTACAGACATGTACCTCCATACCCAGATAATTTTTGTATTTTTAATAGCGACATGGTTTCACCACGTTGGCCAGGCTGGTCTCGAACTCCTTACCTCAGGTGATCTGCCGCCTCGGCCTCCCAAAGTGTTGGAATTACAGGCATGAAACACCGCAGCTGGCCAGTCCTCTTTTCGTTTTGTTTCGTTTCTTTTCTTTTCTTAGAGATAGGGTCTCACTATGTTGCCCAGTCTGGTCTTGAACTCCTGGCCATAAGCAATCCTCCTGCCTTGGCCTCCCAAAGTGCTGGGATTTTCTCTTTCTTCTGAATCCACCTCCAGCGTTACCAAGTTTGGTTCCTCTGGTCATGTAGCATCCTCTCATGTGTGGCCTCGGGACCCCTTGCGCTGCCTCTGCAGGTTCTGAGCACACTGTATTGAGGTTTCTCCCGTCATGGCCCTTATCACACTAGACTGAAATAGCCTGTTCCCTTGGTGCCCTCCCCACAGGGTTGTAAACTGGCTCAGGGCAGGATCTGTTTCCCATCCTACCAGAGAGCCTGTTACATATTAAGTCCACAATACATATTTGTGCAACCATCATACATATGAATGAAAGAGGGAGTGAAGGAATGCATAAAAATCACTGTAGACTGGAGACTTGGATGTCAGCATATGTGGGACTCTGCAGTGTGGGTGTCTGATATAAAATAAGGTTTTATTTGGGAGGGACGCACTAGACGTGTGAAGTCAAATGCTCTTTATTCTTCTTACAAAGTGCGCTTTCAAACTCAGCGAGGGGCATCTAACTTTCCATCCTGTTTTTCTCTTGTTCTCCTTGTCCATTTCCTTCTACCCTCATGAAAGCCCCCTCTCTCTATCCCTTAATTTTCAAGAAGCGATCGTGTAGTAAATCCCATCCCACTGAGTCAAATTTAGGTCATCTTTTATTTGATCAAAATATAGTCTTACTGGCAAGTGGTATCACTATTATTCAGGAACACACATATTGTTTTACTTACAGCTGTGTAGTATTTTATGTTCTCATATAAATGTTATGCCTGGATTATAGTGGAAGCAAACTGGACTCCATTTATTTGAAAAAAATAATGGGAAATCGGGTTCATTCTATCCACCGTCCTGATGGTTTCCCATTTCTCAAAGGAGTCCTTGCCTGGGCTGTGCAGTGTTGCTTGGTAAACAGGCTCTCCGCTGATTTCTCTGAGATGGTTTTCCTAGTAGTCTGCACTAAGCCCTCGGCTGGGGTAGGAGTGAGGCAAGAAAACATGACAGGGAGAGATAGAGAGCTGCTTGATTGAGCTCCTTGCAGGGACAGAGGTGGACAAAGCTGTCAGGTTCTCTTGGGTAAAGATCTTGGAAGGTAGTTAGAAAAATGTATACACTTCTGTGGGCAAGACATTCAGAACAGACGGGAGAATCCAGCACTGGTGGTGGATTTGCGCATCATCATCATCGGGTGTCGTCATTATCATTATCCTGTTCTCAGGAAGGGTCCGCTTTGTTTAGAGGGTGTGTGCGTGTGTGTGTGTGTCTATTAACACTCTGCTCAGTCTCCCCTTCGCTAGCAAAGAGTGAACAGAAATCTGGCTCTAAAATCCAGGCTCTCTCTGCTCTACTTCTCAGCTCCTTTAAACATGCAATTGCTGACCCCACTTCTTCTGTCCTTATGTATGTCACCTTGTACTTATACATGTATGTACACATGTATATAGATGGCTACTTTTATGGAGGTGTGTGCAGGAACATAGTTCTTGAAGTCTTTTCACAGAATCACACAGACAGGAATGGCATTGCAGAACCTCCTTTTGGCTGAGTGCGGTGGCTCACTCCTGTGATCCCAGCACTTTAGGAGGCAGTGGTGGGCAGATCGCTTGAGCCCAGGAGTTCGAGAGCAGCCTGGGCAACTTGGCAGAACCCCATTTCTACTAAAAACACAAAAATTAGACAAGCATGGTGGTGCCCTCCTATAGCCTCAGCTACTTGGGAAGGTGACGTGGGAGGATCACTTGAGCCTGGGGAGGTTGAAGCTACAGTGAACCATCGTTGTACAACTGCACTTCTGCCTGGGTGACAGAGTAAGACACTGTCTCAAAAAAAAAACAAAAAACTGTATATATGTATACACACACGTGTGTGCACACACACACATACGTGTGAATAGTACCTGAAACAGAGTCAGCTTTCAATGAATATTAGCTAATATTGTTATGAAAACAGGATCAGAATGTTCAGTTTCTTACAAGTTATTTTTTTAATCACTTACGATAAGAATTGACTGTTGACAGTATAAATGAATATAAATACATAAATAAAATAGTTTATATATTTTGAATGTATATCAATAGACATTAAATGTTATTATTTATTAAAATCCTGATTTGGTTAAGTTTAAAAAGTTAAATAGCAAACCTCTAATAATTTTTCTTTTTTTTTTTTTTTGAGACCGAATCTCACTCTGTCACCCAGGCTGGAGTGCAGTGGTGCGATCTTGGCTCACCACAACCTCTGCCTCCCGGGTTCAAGCCAGTCTCATGCTTCAGACTCCTGAGTAGCTGGGATTACAGGCGTGTGCCACAATGCCCAGATAATTTTTGTATTTTTAGTAGAGAAGGGGTTTCACCATGTTGGCCAGGCTGGTCTCGAATTCCTGACCTCAAGTGATCTGCCCACCTTGGCCTCCCTCCCAAAGTGCTGGGATTACAGGCATGAGCCAGCACGCCTGGCATAATGTTTATTACATTGTTATATGCAATAATATTGTAAAGGAATCATGCTGGAATAATAGAACATAAATGTATGCATTTATATGTATATTTTATGAGATATGTGCATTTATATATCTACACATGTATTTGAAATTGTAAACAACACATAATACAAAATTTACCCTCTTCGGCCAGGCACGGTGGCTCACACCTGTAATCCCAGCACTTTAGGAGGCCGAGGCAGGTGGATCACATGAGGTCGGGAGTTGGAGACCAGCCTGACCAACACGGAAAACCCCATCTCTACTAAAAATACAAAATTAGCTGGGTGTGGTGGTGCATGCCTATAGTCCCAGCTACTCGGGAGGCTGAGACAGGAGAATTGCTTGAACCTGAGAGGCAGAGGTTGCGGAGAGCGAAGATCACACCATTGCACTCTAGCCTGGGCTACAACAGTGAAACTCCGTCTCAAAAAAAAAAAAAAATTTATCCTCTTCACCATTTTTAAGTTCACTAGTGCTAATTATGCTCACATTGTTGTGTAATAGGCCTCTAGAACTTTTTTATCCTGCAAAACTGGAACTCTGTATCCATTGAACAACTCTCCATTCCCTCTCCCGCTACCCTGACCACCATCCTACTTTCTGTTTCCATAATTTGACTACTCCAGGGACCTCATGTAAGTGGAGTCATGCAGTATTTGTGTTTTTCTTCTGGATTATTTCACCTAGGACAATGTCCTCAACATTCATCCATGTTGTAGCATAGGACAGGATTTCCTTCTTTTTAAGGCTGAATAATATTCCATGGTATGTATAGACCACATCTGCTTTATCTGTTCATCCACGGATGGACATTTGGGCTACTTCCACCTCTTGGCTATTGTGAATAGTGCTGTTGTGAACATGCGTGTGCAAATATGTCTTCAAGATCCTGCTTCAATTGCTGGATCATATGATGATTCTATTTATTTATTTATTTATTTATTTATTTATTTATTTATTTATTAGAGATGGAGGCTTGCTAATGTTGCCCAGGCTGGTCTTGAACCCCTGGCTTCAAGCTGTCCTTCCACCTCAGCCTCTGAAGTAGCTAGGACTATACATATGTACCATCATGCTTGGTTAATTTATAAATTTTTTTTTTTTTTTTTGAGACAGGGTCTTAATCTGTCACCCAGGCTAGAGTGCAGTGATGCAATCGTGGTTCACTATACCCTTGACCTCTTTTCTTGGTAAATTACCCAGTCTCAGGTAGTTCTTTGTAGCAACATGAGAATGGGCTAATATAGGGGCACAGAATTCAATCTGTAATGGTACATGTCAGGCACTACACTAGAAGTTAGACATCGTCACTCATTTACTCCTGACAGTGACCTATGAGATCAGCAGTTATTATCTCAGTTACATAGATGAAGACTTGGAGTTTTAGAAGACCTCAGTGACTTGCTAGGGTTTCCCACTGCGGATAGCACCCTCCAGCCACTTGCCTTTGCACACAACTAGGCACTGTGACACTTAGAGAGGAAGCTTTGCTTCTGGGGCTGTCTAGTACATTGGTGTTTTAGAGATGTTTTTTCTTATGCTTCTGTTTGATTCAAAGATTTTCCAGATGGTCAGTTTACCTGGCCGCAAAAGGAAGTTTCCCTTAGACTGGAGCAGGCCTGTCTGGTCAGATTTTGTCCCATTCTTCCTGGACATGAATACAATGTCTAGGAAGACAATTTCCAGGGAGAAATTCTAGGTCTTTCTATATTGCTCTTCCTAAGCCCAAAACTCCTTTTAAGGAGTACAGAAAGATCTAGAATCCAGGACTTAGAGGAAAACCAGAGAAGATTTCAAATGTACATGGGTAGTGATTTCCTGGTTGCACAGATGTTATACATAGCCATACATAAGACCTGAGATGAATACATGGATTATTGTCCTTCATGGAGCAGAGTCTGTTTCTATCTCTGGCCTTTCCTAATTCTTGCTTTCTTTAGACTGATCATATTGGAGAAACTGAGGCAATTCCATGTTACTCTCCACCCTTGCCCTAAAATTGCTCTCAAGAAAACAAATGCCAGTGAAACCCAACTATACACGTCTAACTCTTCTCAGGAATCTTTATCTCTTAGCAGAAGGCAAAGACAAAGGAATTAAACTGGATCAATTCTTTCCTTTTGTGGGGTCTCTGGAGCTCCTCTTTGCTCCTGGGGCAGTCTTCAAGGTCCTCTCTACAGAATCCTTAGGGCTTTAGGCCGCCCAGTTACAAACCACTGGCCCAGGTCACCTTTCAATTTTCTTGAGTGAAGAAAGATCTCTAAGACACATGAAGAGAATAAACTGAGGGACAGAATAGCACGTGTGGTCTAGATTTCGTTTCTCCATTATTTATGCATACGCAAAAGAGAAAGAGCTAGCACAACCCACAATACCTGTGATAAGCATCTAGAAAGGCAGAGGGATTAGAGTGGGAAAATCAAGAGGACTTTCAATCCCAAGTTGTTTGAAAGATTTTTGCAGAGCTGGGTGCCGTGGCTCATGCCTGTAATCTTAGTACTTTGGGAGACTGAGGTGGGAAGATCACTTGAGCCCAGAAGTTTGAGGCGGCAGTAACTGAGGATCATGCCGCTGCACTCCAGCCTGGGCGACAGAGAGAGGCCTTGTCTTTTTTTTTAAAGAAAATAATAATAATAATTGTGCATGTGTGTGTGTTCATGCACTTAGATGTTACTTGTGTAATTAGAAAGAAATTTCGGGCTGGGCGTGGTGGCTCATACCTGTAATCTCAGCACTTGAGCCCAGGAGTTCAAGACCAGCCTGGCCAACATGGTGAAATCCCGTCTCTACTAAAAATACAAAAATTAGCCAGGTGTGGTGGTGCACACCTATAATTCCAGCTACTTGGGAGGCTGAGGCACGAGAATCACTTGAATCCAGGGGGTGGAGGTTGCAGTGAGCCGAGATCACGCCACTGCACCCAAACCTGGGCAACAGAGTAAGACTGTCTCAAAAAAAAAAAAAAAAAAAAAAGGAAATTAAAATAATGAATTAAAACCCCTATATAAGGCTATATGTCTGTAATGAATTTCAGTTGTCAGCTCACGACATATTAACAGAGTATTTTTGTTTGGATCAAATAATAATTTTTTTTCTTTTTTATACATAGCCACACTCAGGTGTGGTATACCTTCAGTAGCTTTGAGATATTTGATCCATATATTTGTGATTTATTTATAGGTAATGACATGGTGTGATTCTTCAAAGGATAAACTGATACAAGACTAAAGGTGCCTTTGACAAAAAGCCCCTGTGCCTCTTTCTTCCTCTTAATCAATAAAAAGTCACTTTTGACCAAAGGCAGAACCTGACCCAAGGATGTTTGAGGAGCCTTTCTAATAGAAGGCATTCTTCTCACATTGAGAGAAGGTGTTTTATTTTTTCTCTTGCCTAACTGGGCAGGCTCCCAGAGTGAGGGTTTCGCTTAAGCCCAAAAGGAAACCAAGTGGACTATTTTTTTTTTTAAAGAAGGGTTTATAGCTGCCATAGCTTTCACCACCAGCTGCCTAACACAAGGTTTCTGTTTTGAAGAAGGGATGGAGGTGTGCAGGGCAAATTATCCCACTCACTCTTGGTTCCCTGCCTCTTGATATAGTGTAGTAACAGTTAAGACCTGCAGTGATTAAGATTTGTTGTGATTCCAATAATATCATGCCTCTGCCAAGCTAGGACTGATTTTCCAAGTTGTGGTCATCTTTCTTTGTGCATTTATTAAACTGCATATATATATATATATATATATATATATATATATAAAATTGCAGCAAAACCGTGACAAGACACAGAAGTCATATCTGCAAACTAGCAGAGATAGGGCAGGGAAGGAGGACTGCCTTGAGGACTCAAGAAAGTGTTCATTCATCCATTCACCTAGTAGTTCATTGAGTTTCTTTTTTCTTTCTTTTTTTTTTTTTGAGACAAGTCTTGCTCTGTTGCCCAGGCTGGAGTACAGTGGTGTGATCTTGTCTCACTGCAACCTCTACTCCCAGGTTCAAGTGATTCTCCTACCTCAGCCTGCCAAGTAGCTGGGATTACAGGTGCGCACCACCACGCCTGGCTAATTTTTGTATTTTTAGTAGAGATGGGGTTTCACTGTGTTGGCCAGGCTGGTCTTGAACTCCTGACCTCAGGTGATCCACCCACCTTGGCATCCCAAAGTGCTGGGATTACAGGTGTGAGCCACCGCGCCCGGGTCCATTGAGTTTCTATGTGCCAGCTATAGTAATAATTAGTGGGGATGAATAAGTGATTGAGACACGATTCATAAGCTCAACATAAAAAGAGTCCACATTCTAAATAGGCTGATATTTTTGAAGAATCGCAGACCACAGATTTTAGAGTCAAAAGAAAATGTAAAGATACTTCCCATCCACGTCTTAGTAACTGGGCTTGTTTCAATTAGCAAAACTGAACACATCTACCTAGATAGTGGGAATATGTTGATCTATATCTGTTAGAAATTGATGTATCCGTATGTATAGCTTGATAAATTATAAATTACCATTTTAAAAATTCTTGTGTCTTTTTTCTTTTTTCCTTTTTTTTTGAGAGAGTCTTGCTCTTGTTGCCCAGGTTAGAGTGTAATGGCACGATCTCAGCTCACTGCAACCTCCGCCTCCCAGGCTCAAGCGATTCTCCTGCCTTAGTCTCCAGAGTAGGTGGGAATACAGGCGCCTGCCACCACATCCAGCTAATTTTTGTATTTTTAGTAGAGATGGGGTTTCATCACGTTGGCCAGGCTGGTCTCGAACTCCTGACCTCAGGTGATCCACCTGCCTCGGCCTCCCAAAGTGCTGGGATTACAGGCGTAAGCCACCGCACCCAGCCTTTTTTTCTGTTTTTAAAGGCATGTGAATTTGCTTTTTCTCATCCAGTTAATTGTTGACAAGGGAACATTCATTTATTTGAGTATGTAGAGAACAGCAAGAAAAAATGTGTGGGGCTTTGGGACTGTCTTCTCACCTAAAAGGCCCTGGGCCAGCTCTAAAGATCATTCTTGGGACACTTGGGGAAACTTCATTATGGGCTGTGTAGTAGTGCTAAGTTTGTGCTAAGCTTCCCAACATGGTCCCTGTGCTGTGGTTATGCAGGAGGACCTCCTTGTTCCTGGAAGTGCCGATGTTTTTGGGAGTGAAGTGTCATGATGTCTGTTAGAAACTCTTCAATGACCCAGCTGAAAATAAACACTTAAAATAAACAGAAATAATTAAAATTATATGTATACATAGTCATGTGCTGCGTAACAATGTTTTGATCAACTATAGACCCCATATACAATGGTGGTCCCACAGGATTATAATGGAGCTGAAAAGTTCCTCTTACCTAATGATGTGGTAGCTCTGGTAATGTCCCAGTGTAATGCATTATCTTTCTATGTTTAGATACACAAATACTTACCACTGTGTTCCAGTTGCCTACAGTATTCTGTACAGTAATATGCTGTGCAGGTGTGTAGCCTGGGAGCAATAGGCTGCACCATCCAGCCTAGGTGTTCAGTAGGCTATGCCATCTAGGTTTGTGTAAGTACACTGTGATGTTCACCCAAGGACAAAATTGTCTAGTGACACATTTCTCAGAATGTATTCCCGTTTTTAAGTCACACATGACTATACACAGATACACATACACACATACATACACATAAACACATATATATACCCCCCCACACACACACACACACACTACGTATCATGATTTGAATCTCCCCCACTGTCTACCTTTTGAGAGAGTCTGTAATTGTTCTTATGATTTATACTACTCGCTCTGGGGGAAAGATTATACTTCCCCTGTCCCACCACTGTCAAGCTTTGGTCCCTTGACTTGCTTTGGACAATAAAATTTGCATACACTGGCACTCACAGTAGAAGCTGAACAGCCAGGGCATTGTTGTGGCCCCTCACTACAGAGTCCCGGTACCATGCAGCACTCATCAGCACTGCTACCCTAGGGTTCACATCTTGGGCCGGGTCTTAGATTCCCTCCTTGTTACTAACCTCCAAAGAATAATTTGGGCAAGAGTAATTGGACATTTTATCCAATTTTTAAAAAGACATACACACATTAGTCTGTTCTTTTGGCCTTTTCCCTTTGGCCCCTGTCTTGCTGTGCTGCTCCTTTGGAGTCCTCTTTACCCCACTGAGTCATCTGACAATAAACTCTCTTGCTCCTGGTTGGGACACGCTGATGTTTCTGTAGAACAATTAAGCATCATTTCAGGGTGAGCTAATTTCATGACAGCTTTCTGCGGTTTAGAACTATCCCCTGTAGGGTATCAGAGCCCAGGGGCTGCTCAGCTGAGGCACGGAAGCAGTCCCTGACAAGCATTCCTTTTGTTTCAATGCCCTTGTGTCTAGATCTTTCTGCACCTTCCGCCTTCCCTGAGATTGGGCATTTACATGCCTTTCCTCTCCTTCACATCTACTTCTTCCTTGTGCTGGTGCTTCACTGACTGGCTCCTATTTCAGACTTTTCTCCTCCAAATATCAGTTTGCTTATCTGTAAAATTGATATAGGAATGTTACAGTAGGTAGTTAGGCAGACATGAGCAGGGCAGGAGAGGGCTCCCCCAAACAGGAACATTGGGAGACCATCAGGTGATGGTCAGGCGGTTGTTAAACTGTCTCTCTAAGATAATAATGGGGCTGGGCGTGGTGGCTCACGCCTATAATCCCAGCACTTTGGGAGGCCAACATGGGCAGATCATAAGGTCAAGAGATCAAGATTCTGGCCAGCATGGTGAAACCCCATTTCTACTAAAAATACAAAAATTAGCTGGGCGTGGTGGTGCACGCTTGTAATCCCAGCTACTCGGGAGGGTGAGGTATGAAAATCACCTGGGAGATGGAGGTTGCAGTAAGCCAAGGTCACGCCATTGCACTTCAGCCTGGGCAACATGAGCAAAACTCTGTCTCAAAAAAATAAATAAATAAATAAATAAATAAAATAAAATAATAATGGGTTGCAGCCAGTGCCAGGGAAAGGAAGTCTCCCAATAGATAGAGAACACCTGAAACTGGTGATCAACAGCTTCCCAATAAGATCTCAGGAGATGGGTGAGTGGGCTCAAGCATATGTACTAAGGCAAAATAGCAGAGTTTAACTTACCAGTTGAGCATACCTAGTCGATTTCTGCAGTTGACAGTCCTTCCCCTGGTAAGGTATATGACCTCCCTCCAGGAACGCTCGACTGGTGAGCAAAAGACACCTCAAGTCAACATGCGCACAACTTCAATAAACACACCGTACATGTGGCCCTCTCAAGGGCTGGCAGGCCACTGTGCACGTGGACAACCCACCCCAAGGGAAGCATCAGGGGAGAAGTAATGCCGCCCCTGGAAGCATGCCAACATATAAAACCCCAAGTCAAAGGGTAAACCATGCACTTGAATCTCTCAAGTCACCTGATTGGCCCTTTTCCAAGTGTACTTTACTTCCTTTTGTTCCTGCTCTACAACTTTTTGATAAACTTTTCCCTCCTGCTCTAAAATTTGCCTCTGTCTTTCCCTCTGTCTTATGCCCCTCGGTCTAATTCTTTCTTCTGAGGAGGCAAGAATTGAGGTTGCTGGCTGGGTGCGGTGGCTCTCGCCTGTAATCCCAGCAGTTTGGGAGGCCGAGGCTGGCGGATCACCTGAGGTCAGGAGTTCGCGACCAACCTGGCCAACACGGTGAAACACCATCTCCACTAAAAACACAAAAATTAGCCAGGCATGGTGGCGCATGCCTGTAATCCAGCTACTCGGGAGGCTGAGACAGGAGAATCCCTTTAACCTGGGGGACAGAAGTTACAGTGAGCCAAGATCACGCCACTGCACTCCAGCCTGGGCAACAGAGCAAGACTGCATCTAAAACAAAAACAAAAACAAAAAGCAATTGAGGTTGCTGCATACCCATACGGATTTGAGGCTGTTAGAGGCTGTTAACAGCCTATGTAGCAAGGCTGCCTGAAGTTTCAACCATAGGATAGATGTAAAGCCCCCAGCGCAGGGTCTGGCACAGAGCATTCTTAGCCTGATAGTGTTGCTTCTCTTTCCATCATTAGCTCGGCTGATACGGATGGTGGCAAATAGGGATGGGGAGGGGCTTTCTATAGTTGTGCCTTTGCTTGTTATAGATATACTTCTCTATTTGTTGTGGGGTCTAAAATTGCTTCTTCTTCTGTTTTTGTTTTTGTTTTTTTGTCACCGTAGCAGGTGTTACATTTTAGCCCTGCCAGTTGGGATTCATTTTGCTCTTCTGTTCCTCTCCCAAGCCACTCAGCACCAACCTCCCCAACCTTTGGTTTTGTCTGTCCTCTAGTCTAGGTTTTCATTGTCCTCCCCAAGGGCCGTGAACTCCTCTGCCATCTGCCCTTGTCTGGCCCAGCTGCTTTTTAGGTCACCTAATCCTTTTACATTATCCCCTTTCCAGGTAATCAACAAACGGCTGTATTTTCCAAGTAGCTCCCACAGATGCCATCTCCGTTTCTTTAAAAATACTTGGCATTGATGTTTTAATACAACTCCAGCTCCTGCAGATGCCTCCTCTGAACTTCTCACACCCACTCCCTTTCAAGGGGGAAAGGGGATCTCTCTCACCAGCTCACTAAGGGGCACGCCCTCCTGAAGATGCCCCCACCGCAGTCCCGTGCAAGGATAGAATCTCCAAAGTTTGAATCTATGCATGCTTTGAATATAGAGGCAAGAAGCCCTCAGAAGTCTCAGGGGCAGCCTGAAGGACACTTCTGACCTGTTCTGAATTTTATCTCTAGTTTCCAAATTAGCTGGGGATATGTTACTTTCTATCTACCTGATTGGAGGAACTCATCCATAACCTGCTAACATTTCAAACTGACTTCAGGAACATTTTTTTGTTCCCTTTTCGAATACACTCCCCATAGGATTTGAAATCAAGGGTGACATTCTAGAGCACAAAATAGTTATCTGTCCACCCCAGACCCCCTCCCCTAAAGTCTAGTCAAGAGACATTCAAGGAAACAAACAAACAAAAATCTCAGAAGGAAATATGGAAATAAAGAACATCGACTCTTCTGCTTTTTTGGCAGGAGTTCACGCCAAGTGCTCAAATAACACAACATATGCTGCATTGGTGTTTTGAGGTGACCAGAGTGGATTAGTCAGGAATGAGGGTCAGCGATGAAGGCTTTTCCTTGTCACAGAAAGACAGCTGAGCAGAACCAGACCTTCCGTTTCTGCCTCTGCCCTTAACTAGTTGTTTGATGTTGGGCAAGTTACTTAACTGGTCTACGTTTTAGATTCATGGGGATAATGAAACCTCTGTTACTGGATTGTCCCACTGGAATGATGTCACACACAAGGAGCACTTGGGACCACGTGGGTGCCTAGGGAGTGGCCACGATTGTTGCAGGAATGAGAGTAGGCAAACTCTGAAGGTCAGGCAGATCTCTATTTGGAGTTGTCTGGGCTTTTCTGGCTACGGATGAACTGTGTTCATATGATCAGTCCAGAACTGGGATAACCAGCTAATTTCAGGCAAGGTTATATGATTCTGCAGGGCAAAGCCTACATTACTGCCTGTTTTATAGCCTGTGACTTTTAATGGCTCCTGCAATTGACAGTCCTTCTCCCTGAAGCCAAAGTGAACTTGTTATCCTGCACTTTATTTTGCAATTAATAATGCTTTGCATTTCCAAGGTGCTTAACAGGCATTAATTCATTCTTCCTCCTGCTTCATCCTATTCTTTTCTACTGTTTATTTATTTACTGACTTATTTTGCAGACTGGGGAGTTTACTTGGGGATTTGCCCAAAGCCATGCAGACCTAGTCAGGATGTTGCAATTCTATTCATGTTCACACCTCTGTTCTGGGCTAAGTTCCCTTCTCACTGTCCAGGGATCATCAGGTGAAATCAAAGGACTTTTGGGTCTTTGGGAAAGGATTCCCGAAGTTAAGTGTCTGCTAGGACTACTCTTTTTATTTTGGGCAAATTTTGACGGGTGGGAATATTTATGTATAAGCCCTCAAAGTTTTAGGATTTTGGAGCACCACATGATTCTAGGGGAGCTACACCAACTGGCTGGGGGCCTCTGTCTCAGGTTACTGTGAGTCAGTTTGGCTCCAGTTCAAATGCTGATCCAGCCATTTGGGTAAAACAGCTGGATCAGATTTTTCTGTTCTCTTTTATAAAGAACTTGGGTTATAAGAAATCACTCTAATTTGTCACTCTGAAACCAGAAACGATCTACTCACTGTTCCCCAAATGCTCACGCCTCCTTTTTCCTTCTTCCAGGTCTGCAGCCACTCCTCAGACACTTGCTCAGAAAGTGTCAGGTATTTGGCTTTTTTTTTTTTTTTTTTTTTTTTTGGAGGCAGGGTCTTACTCTGTCACCCAGGCTGGAGGGCAGTGGTGTGATCACAGCTCATTGCAGCCTTGAACTTCCAGGCTCATGCAATCCTCCCACCTCAGCCTCCTGAGTAACTGAGACTACAGGCACGCACCACCACACCTGGCTAATTTTTGAACATTTTTTTTGTAGAGACAGGGTCTTGCTGTGTTGCTCAGGCTGGTCTCGAATTCCTGGGCTCAAGTGATCCTCCTGCTTCAGCCTCCCAAAATGCTGGGATTACAGAAGTGAGCCACTGTGCCTGGACTTTGGTTTCTACTTAACAAAAATTGTAATATTCATATCACAATTAAGTCACTTGCCAGGAACATTTAATTCAGAGGTAACATACACATGCTACTACCACCAAACCATTTTAAGTTTCTGCTATTCAGTTTTGTGAAGCAGTGAAAATTTTCCATTTTTTTGAGACAAGGTCTTGCTCTCTCAATCAGGCTGCAGTGCAGTGGCACAATCAGAGCTCATGGCAGCCTCCATCTCCCAGGCTCATAGGATCCTCCTGCTGCAGCCTCCATAAGTGTGCACCACCATAACCAGCTTTTGTTTTGTTTTGTTTTGTTTTTTAAGAGATAGGGTCTCACGGCCGGGCGTGGTGGCTCACCCCTGTAATCCCAGCATTTTGGGAGGCTGAGGCGGGTGGATCACCTGAGGTCAGGAGTTCCAGACCAGCCTGACTAACATGGTGAAACCCCGTCTCTACTAAATACAAAAAAGTAGCCAGGTGTGGTGGCATACACTTGTAATACCAGCTATTTGGGAGGCTGAGGAAGGAGAATCGCGTGAACCTGGGAGATGGAGGTTGCGGTGAGCCGAGATTGCACCATTGCACTCCAGCCTGGGCAACAAGAGGGAAATTCCATCTCAAAAAAAAGAGATGGGGTCTCACTTTGTTGCCCAGGCTGGTCTCAAACTCCTGGGCTCCTGCCAAAGTGTGCGATTACAGGTGTGAGTCGCCAGGAAATATGGAAATTTTTTGGTCAATTTTTCCTTTTGTTGTGTCTTCCTACTTCATTTTAATGTCGTCATTCTTGGATGCCTTGAAAAATCTTGATTCTAGAGAAAACTCAGGTGACTGAAATTGCAAGTGCAGAAAAGCAAAAGAGAAGGACGTAGCAAAAGCGGGGTAGCCGTGGAAAAGTATTAAAATAAAACCCTAGAGAAATAAATTGAAGTGTTTAATTGAGCAAAGAACGATTTGTGAATCAGGCAGCTCCCAGAATCAGCATAGGTTCAGAGAGACTCTGGGCTGCCACATGGTCAGATAAAATTTATGGACAGAAAAAGGGAAGTGCTCTACAGAAAACAGATGCGAGGTACAGAAACAGCCAGATTGGCTGGTTACAGCCCTGCCTTTGCCTTATGTGAACACAGTATGAACAGCTGGCTGCCTGTGATTGGCCAACACTCGGCTGCTGTGATTGGCAGAGACTCAGTTGCTGCGATTGGCTGACTCGGTTACTCGCTATTAGAGTAGGTTAGTCTGTTTATAGGAGCAGTAGGTAACAGCTCACTGTATAGAGAAAGCGTTAGGCTGAACTTAACTATGTAAGGAGGCTAAACGTAATTTAAGAAGTATTCAGGCTTCAGGCTAAACTTAAGAAGTATTTATCCAACAGCACTTTGGGAGGCCGAGGTGGGTGGATCACGAGGTCAAGAAATCGAGACCATCCTGGCCAACATGGTGAAACCCTGTCTCTACCAAAAATACAAAAATTAGCTGGGTGCGGTTGCACGTGCCCGTAGTCCCAGCTACTCAGGAGGCTGAGGCAGGAGAATCGCTTGAACCCAGGAGGCAGAGGTTGCAGTGAGCCGAGATCGCGCCACTGCACTCCAGCCTGGCGACTGAGCGAGACTCCGTCTCAAACAACAAACAAACAAACGAAGAACTATTTATCCAAACAAAGCACCATTCACTCTTTTCACTCATTCTTGCTCTCTCTCTCTCACCAAAGAAGCTCAGTTCAGGGCCCAGGCGCAGTGGCGCATGCCTGTTATCCCAACACTTTGAGAGGTGGAGGTGGGCAGAACACCTGAGGTCAGGAGTTCGAGACCAGCCTGGCCAACATGGAGAAACCCCATCTCTACTAAAAATACAAAAATTAGCCAAGTGTGGTGGCACGTGCCTGTAAACCCAGCTACTCGGGAGACTAAGGCAGGAGAATCTCTTGAACCCAGGAAGCAGAGGTTGTAGTGAGCCGAGATCGCACCACTGCCTGGGTGACAGAGCAAGACTCTGTCTTAAAAAAAAAAAAAAAAAAAAAAGCGCAGTTCAGGGACGTACTACTTACATTCTAGTAATGAGTCTTTAGTGAGCACTACACCTTTTTACACCTGTGACAACCTGCTGCTGTTTGGGGAGGGGGACACAATTCATTCTAAACCAGTCCTTGACCACCAGGCAAATGTATCAGCATAAATATCCAAAATGCCCAATGAAGGTTCTGGCTACTCCTGAGTGCAGAAGTGTTCCTTCACCTTCCCTGTGCACCTGCCATGGCTCCATGGTGCCTTTCTAAGGTACCAGTGTCTATTTTCCTATTGATATTTCCATTTTCTGGAGATTACCCAGCTATGGTTAGCAGAGTTGATCAATTATTATACTTTACGGAGAATGTCAGGGTCTTTGAATTGCTGTTTTGGTCTTATAATTTATTTTTCTCTCTGAAGAGTGGTTTCCTTTAAGCTACTTGAGAGCACCCTTCGAGGACAAAGGTGGGCTTTTGGACAATAACATGTGAATGGCTGGGTAGGAAGATAGGTTCCAGAGATAAATGTAATCTTTGCTTTTTGGAAAAGCATAGGGACATAGTCGCATCATTCCTGAAAAGAGAATTCAATGTGAGGTCACTTTGGTTATTATACCTAGTATTTCTATGAGATTTGAAAATATTTGAGAATGCAAAAAATTTGGCTTATGAATTTGTGAGTTCCCTGAGCTAAGATGAAAGATAACTTCCAGGTAGATTAAATGAAGCTCAAGAAAGGGTGGGGGGCGGGCAGGCATTGGAACGAACAGTTTATAAACTGATAAACATTTGTTAAGCAGCCACTGTGAGTTCAGCCTAGAAATACTGAGATGAGCTGAGCACAGTGGCTCATGCCTGTAATCCCAGCACTGTGAGAGGCCGAAGCAGGTGGATCACGAGGTCAGGAGTTTGAGACCAGCCTGGCCAACATAGTGAAACCCCATCTCTACTAAAAATACAAAAATTAGCTGGGCATGGTGGTGCACACCTGTAGTCCCAGCTACTCGGGAGGCTGAGGTTGGAGAATCACTTGAACCTGGGAGGCAGAGGTCGCAGTGAGCCAAGATCGCACCACTGCACTCCAGCCTGGGCAACAGAGCAAGACTCCATCTCAAAAAAAAAAAAAAAGAAAAAAGAAAAAAGAAATACTGAGATGAGTAAAACAAAACTCCTCACCTAAAGTTCTCAAGTAAGTTATAATAGAATGTGGTGAAAATTAGAATAGAAATATGGAGAAGGCACAGAGTAACCTTATCCAAAAAGGGAGGACTATGTAGTTATAGTTCCAAGGCAGGTGGTAATTCTGAGCTCGGTCATAAAGAATAAATAGAAGGTCATGAGTTGGGTAAAGGAGGATGTTATAAGAATGTGAATTGTGGGCCAGGCGCGGTGGCTCGTGCCTGTAATCCCAGCACTTTGGGAGGCCGAGGCAAGTGGATCACCTGAGGTCGGGAGTTGGAGACCAGCCTGCAACATGGAGAAACCCCATCTCTACTAAAAAGATAAAATTATCTGGTGTGGTGGCATGCACCTGTAATCTCAGCTACTCGGGAGGCTGAGGCAGGAGAATCGCTTGAACCCGGGAGGCAGAGGTTGTGGCGAGCTGGGGAGGCAGAGGTTGTGGCGAGCTGAGGTCGCGCCATTGCACTCCAGCCTGGGCAACAAGAGCGAAACTCAGTCATCATATTTGGAAATAGGGTCTTTGTAGAGGCAGTTAGTTAACTTAAAATGAGATCATACTCTATAATAATTTAATTATTTTATATTTATTTACTTTTAGAGACAGGGTCTCACTCTGTCTCCCAGGCTGGGGTGCAGTGGCACGATCATAGCTCATAGCAGCCTTTAAACTCCTAGGCTCGAGTGATGCTCCTGCCTCAGCCTCCCAAGTAGCTAGGAGTACAGGAAAGGGCCACCATCATATCTAGCTAGTTAAAAAACATTTTTTTGTTTGTATGGAGATGGGGTCTCACTATGTTGCCCAGGCTGGTCTCGAACCACTGGCTTCAAGAGATCCTTCTGCCTCAGCCTCCCAAAGTGCTGGGATTACAGGTATGACGCACCACACTCAGCCCTATTTCTTATTGTTAAATTATTATAGAGTATGGGTCAGGCACGGTGGCTCATGCTTATAACCCCAGCACGTTGGGAGGCCAAGGTGGAAGGATTGCTTGAAGCCAGAGGTTTGAGACCAACCTGTGCAACACAGGGGACCGTATCTCTACAAAAAAAATGTTAAAAAAAAAATTAAAAAAATTAAAAACCAGCAAACAAGCATTGACAAGGGTGTAGAGAAATTGGAAAGCTTGTGTTGCTGGTGGGAATGTAAAATGGTGCAGCTGCTATGGAAAACAGTATGGCAGTTCCTAAAGAGTCCAACATAAAATAACCATATGATTCAGCAATTCCAGTCCTGGGGGGTATACCCCAAAGAACTGAAAATAAGGATTCACACAGGTATTTGTACACCAGTGTTCATAACAATGTTATTCACGGTAGCCAAAAGGTAGAAGCAACCCAAGTATCCATCAACAGATGAATGGACAAACAAAATGTCTGTATCCAGACTGTAGAATGCTATTCTGCAATTAAAAGGAATGTGATTCTGATACATGCCCAAACACGGATGAGCCTTGAAAACATTATGCTATTTGAAATAAGCAGGCGGGCGCGGTGGCTCACTCCTGTAATGTCAGCACTTTGAGAGGACGAGGTGGGCAGATCACCTGAGGTTAGGAGCTCAAGACCAGTCTGGCCAACATGGTGAAAACCCGTCTCTACTAAAAATACAAAAGTTAGCTGGTCATGGTGGCAGGCGCCTGTAATCCCAGCTATTTGGGAGGCTGAGGCATGAGAATCTCTTGAACCTGGGAGGCGGAGGTTGCAGTGAGCCGCCGTTGCACTCCAGCCTGGGCAACAAGAGCGAAACTTAAAAAAGAAAGAAAGAAATAAGCTAGACCCCAAAGGACAAGTATTATATGACTCCAGTTATATGAGGTTCCCAGGATGGGCAAATTCATAGAGAAAGAAAGTAGAATAGAGGTTACCAGGGGCTAGGGAATCAGGGCAATAGGATGTTATTGCTTAATGTGTACAGAGTTTCTGTTTGGGGTGATGAAAAGCTTTTGGAGACAGTGGTGATAGTTGCACAACTTTGGGAATGTAATCAGTGCCCCTGTAGTCTACATTTAAAAATGGTCAAGATGGCAAACTTTTAAATACATATTTTACCACTATAAGAATAATGAGGTTGGCTGGATGTGGTGGCTTACCCCTGTAATCTCAGCATTTGTGGGAGGCCAAGGTAAAAAGACTGCTTGATGTCAGTAGTTCAGGACCAGCCTGGGCAACATAGCAAACCTCATCTCTACTAAAAAAAAAAAAAAAAAAATAGAAAAAAAAAATTAGCCACATGTGGTTGTGCATACCTATAGTCCTAGCTACTAGGGAGGCTGAGGTGGGAGGATGGCTTGAACCTGGGAAGTTAAGGCTGCAGTGAGCTATGATCTTGCCACTACATTCCAGTGTGAGTGACAGAAAAATACTCTGTCTCAAAAAAATAAATAAATACAAATAAAAAAGAAAAATATAAAAAGAAAATAAAGGCCAGGTGCAATGGCTCATGCCTGTAATCCTAGTACTTTGAGAGGCCGAGGCAGACGGATCACCTGAGGTCAGGAGTTGGAGACCAGCCTGACCAACATGGAGAAACCCCATCTCTACTAAAAATACAAAATTAACCAGGCGTGGTGGCACATGCCTGTAATCCCAGCTACTAGGGAGGCTGAGGCAGGAGAATCACTTGAACCCAGAGGTGGAGGTTGTGGTGAGCCGAGATCGCGCCATTGCACTCCAGCCTGGGCAACAAGCGCGTAACTGTCTCAAAGAAAGAAATAAATAATAAAAACAATGAGGTCATATTGACTTAGAATGGGCCGTAAATTCAATCGCTTGTGTCCTTAGAAGAAAAGACACAGAGGCAAAGAGAAACACATAGAGAGGAGAATGCCTCGTGAAAATGGAGACCGAGATTGGTGCAATGTGTCCACAAGCCAGGGAATGCCAACGTGGCCAGCAACCACCAGAAGCTGGGAGAGAGGCATGGAACAGAGTCCTCGGAGCCTCCAGAAGGAACCAACCCTGTTGATACCTTGACTGAAAACTTCCAGCCTCCAGAACTGTGACAGAATTAATTTCTGTTATTTAAAGCCATTCAGTCTGTGGTAATTTGTTACATCAGCCCTGAATAGCAAATACAGATGACCCAGGTTTAAATCCTAGTTCTGCCACTTATGAGCGTGGGTACATAACTACTTTCTAGAGCCCCGGTTTCCTCATCTGTAAAAAACCTCATACGGTTATTAAGAAGATCAAATGAGATACAAACATAAATTCTTAACAGTGCTGGCATGTTAATTGTTCAATAAATATGAGTTATTTACAACAATTGTGATAGTAATGAGTAACACAGAGAAATGAGAATTGACTTAACAGAGGCTGGCTCGGCAAGCCTCTATGCCAACAAAATTTATTTGGAAATCAAAAGTATTTACTTCAGACTGGGCGCAGTGGCTCACACCTGTAATCCCTGCACTTGAGGTCAGGAGTTGGAAACCAGCCTGGCCAACATGGTGAAACCTCATCTTTACTAAGGGAGGAGACCACCCCTCATATTGTCTGCATATGCCCAGTTTCTGCCTCCAAAGAAAGAAGAAGTAAAAACTAAAAGGCAGAAATGAAGTCCACAGGCAGACAGCCCGGTGCCACACCCTGGGCTTGGTAGTTAAAGATCGACCCCTGACCTAATCAGTTATGTTATCTATAGATTACAGGCATTGTATAGAAAAGCACTGTGAAAATCCCTGTCCTGTTCTGTTCTGTTATAATTACTGGTGTATGCAGCCCCCAGTCACGTACCCTCTACTTGCTCAATCGATCACGACCCTCTCACGCAGACCCCCTTAGAGTTGTGAGCCCTTAAAAGGGACAGGAATTGCTCACTCGGGGAGCTCGGTTTTTGGAGACGTGAGTCTTGCCGAAGCTCCCGGCTGAATAAAGCCCTTCCTTCTTTAACTCGGTGTCTGAGGGGTTTTGTCTGCGGCTTGTCCTGCTACACTACTAAAAACACAAAAAATTAGCTGGGTATGGTGGCAGGCACCTGTAATCCCAGCTACTTGGGAGGCTGAGGCAGGAGAATTGCTTGAACCCGGGAGGCTGAGGTTGCAGTGAACCCAGATCTTGCCACTACACTCCAGCCTGGGTGATGGAGCGAGACTCCACCTCCAAAAAAAAAAAGGAAGAAAGAAAAAAAGAATTTACTTCAAGGAAAATTTACTTTCCCATTCTCGTTATGGAAAAAAGTGTAGGGGAAATATGTGTTATTTGAGTTAGCATCACTGAAATGGATATGAAAGTTGGATGATTTCTCAGGCTCTGAGAAGTTTAGAGAAATTGACAAGCTCATCAGCCTCCCCCTTTCTCTTGATAAAAGAAAAACTTCAGCCGAATTAAATTTAAAGGAGTTTAATTGAGCAATGAACAATTTGTCAATCAGGCAGCCTTCCCAGCCAGAGTAGGCTCAGAGTCTCCAGTGCAACCACGTGGTGGAAGATGATTTATGGACAGGAAAAGGAAAGTGACGTACAGAAAATGGAAGTGAGGTACAGAAGCAGCTGGACTGCATTATTTGAACATGGTTCGAACAGTTGGTTACATTTGATTGGCCAAAACTTGATGATTGTCACAAATGTAGGCTATAGTCTTTTTACACCTCCACTTGTTATAGTTCATGATGTACAGAAAAACCTTTAGGTCAAACTTAAAATATTTAGGAGGCAGCTTTAGGCTCAACTTGATTTAACACTCTGACATAACCTACCCATAAGCTCACTCAGGCTGTTACACTTAGAAGGGAGCCCCATTCTTACATTCTAAGGGTGTTCTTTCTGCCCAGTGGCATGGGGAAGGAACGCACCTCAGCTGCACAGGTTCAAGCTGCCGGGGAGCTCTATGCAAATTCGAGACCCTGCTGGGATACTCACAAAGCCAGAATTGCTTGCTGCAGGACTAAAGAGGGAGTGTATTTGATTTTTTTTTTTTTTTTTTTTTGGTGATAAATGGGAAAAAACAATGCATTTTTTTCAAAAAGCAGTCCAATACCCTGATGTACTATAAAATGGAGTTTAATCCATAGGAGAGTGGGAGGCACCAGGAATGGACTGGGTGGGGTAGCAATAGCTGTTGTCTATCATCTGTGGTTAGATTAGCTGTTATCTCTATCAACACTTTCACTGTCATCACCAGCATTAACATGCCCACCTCTTACAGGGGCTGTGTTGGACCGGTTAAATGTGCATGCTTCTTGGTGCTTGCAACAATTTACAGAGATGAATTCACAGGTCTGTCTAGGCTGAGTTTGTATTCTTAGTGCAGACAGCCCTCCACATCCTCAGATGTTGCATCTGAGGATTCAACCAACCACAAATCAAAAACATTTGGAAAACACAGCAATAAAAAATAACAATACAACAATAGGACCTAAAATTTTAAAAATAATACAGTCTAACAACAATTTACATAGCATTTATATTCTATTTGGTATAGGCATTTTTGAGAGCAAGTTGAGTCCACCACAAAGCCAGGAGGCTGAGCCCCTTAAGCCCTGGTCTTCTGGTGACCCATCAAATTCTGCTTACCCAGCACTCTGCTGCCTCCTCCATGTGGGCCCATTGCCTGTACTGAACTCTCCAGGATTCTCCAGACCAACATTCTCTACCTCATCATTTAGCACGATATTGGATATTGTGTGTTGAATTGCTTGCCAACTGTTCCACAGAGATCAGCCTCATCCACCTGTATTCTTTTTCCTTTCATTGCTCTCAGGATAAAACACAAACTCCTTACTATGCCCACCAGGCCCTATCCTCTCACTCCAGCTCCCTCTGGCCACGGCACCCCTTGCCCTGCATTCCAGCCACATGGCCATCTTTTAGTTCCATTTGGCCTTTCTTACTCAAACTTTATCTCTTAGTTTAAAGGTTATTTGTTTCGAGAAGCATTCCCTGAATCCCTCTGGTAGGATGTCTGCCTATTCCTTCTTGAAACAATAGTGGTAAAAAACACATAACATAAAATTTACCGTCTTAACTATTTTTATTTATTTATTTATTTTTGAGACAGAGTCTCACTCTGTCGCCCAGGCTGGAGTGCAGTGGTGCGATCTTGGCTTACTGCAACCTCCACCTCCCAGGTTCAAGCGATTCTCCTGCCTCAGCCTCCCAAGTAGCTGGGATTGCAGGCTCGTGCCACCACTCCCAGCTATTTTGTATTTTTTGTATTTTAGTAGAGACAGGGTTTCACCATGTTGGCCAGGCTGGTCTCCAACTCCTGACCTTAAGTGATCCACCCGCCTCGGCCTCCCAAAGTGCTGGAATTACAGGCGTGAGCCACCAAGCCCAGCCTAACTTTTTTTAAATGTATAGTTCAGTAGTGTTAAGTACATTCACATTGCTATACAACCAATCTCCACCACTCTTTTCATCTTGGAAAACTGAAACTCTATACCACTAAACAACAAATCTCCATTCACCCTCTCCCCAGCCCCTGGCAATCACCATTCTACTTTCTGGAACTTGACTATTCTAATTACCTCTTATAAGTAGAATCATACCATAGTTGCCTTTTTGTGGCTGGATTATTTTATTTAGCATAATGTCCTGAAGATTCACCCATGTCGTAGCATGTATCAGAATTTACTTCCTTTTTAAGGCTGAATAATATTCCATTGTATGTATAGACCACATGTTGTTTATCCATTCATCTGTCAGTGGACACTTGGGTTGCTCCCACCTTTTGGCTGTTGTGAAAAATGCTGTTGAACATGGATGTACAGCTGGGTGCGGTGGCTCACATCTGTAATCCCAGCACTTTGGGAAGCTGAGGCAGGCGGATCACCTCAGGTCAGGAGTTCAAGACCAGCTGGGCCAACATAGCAAAACCCTATCTCGACTAAAAATACAAAAATTAGCGGGACATGGTGGTATGTGCCTGTAATCCCAGCTACTCGGGGGGCTGAGGCAGGAGAATCACTTGAACCCAGGAGGTAGAGGTTGCAGTGAGCCAAGATTGTGCCGTTGCACTCCAGCCCGGGCGTGAGACCGTGTCTCAAAACAAAAAAAAAAAAGAAGAAGAAAAAAAAAAGAACATGGGTGTACAGATATCTCTTTGAGACACTGCTTTTCATTCTTTTGGGTATAAGAGGTGAGCCCTTTGGGAGGTGGTTAGGCTATGAGGACTCTGCTTTCATGGATAGGATTAGTACCTTTATAAAAGGGCTTGAGGGACCAAGTTCATCCCTTTTGTTCTTCCGTCTTTTCTGCCATGTGTGGACACAGCATTTGTTCCATTTCCGCTTCTGCTTTGTGAGGATGCAGCAGCAAGCAGCCATCTTGGAAGCATAGAGTGTGCCTTCATCAAATCTGCTGGTGCTGTGATCTTGAACCTCCCAGCCACCAGATCTGTAAGAAATACATTTCTGTTGTTTATAAATTACCCAGTTTAGGTATTTTGTTATAGCAGCAGGATCAGATTAAGATAGAGGATATTTTATTGCAGTTAAGTCCCAGGCACAGATAGCTTTTTTCTTTTTCTTTTTTTTTTTCTCCAGACAGAGTCTTGCTGTGTCATCCAGGCTGGAGTGCAATGGCGTGATCTCAGCTCACTGCAACTTCTGCCTCCTGGGTGCAAGCGATTCTCCTGCCTCAGCCTCCTGAGTAGCTGGGATTACAGGCACATGCCAGCATGTCCAGATAATTTTTTTCTTTTCTTTCTTTTTTTTTTTTTTTTTCTGAGATGGAGTTTCACTCTTGTTGCCCAGGCTGGAGTACAATGGTGTGATCTCAGCTCTCCGCAACCTCCGCCTCCTGGGTTCAAGCGATTTGCCTGCCTCAGCCTCCCAAGTAGCTGGGATTACAGGCATGCGCCACCACGTCCGGCCAATTTTGTATTTTTAGTAGAGAAGGGGTTTCTCCATGTTGGTCAGGCTGGTCTGGAACTCCTGACCTCAGGTGATCCGCCAGCCTTGGCCTCCCAAAGTGCTGGGATTACAGGTGTGAGCCACTGCGCCTGGCCTAATTTTTTGTATTTTTAGTAGAGACAGGGTTTCACCATGTTGGCCAGGCTGGTCTTGAACTCAGGACCTCGTGATCCACCCACCTTGACTTCCCAAAGTGCTGGCATTACAGGCGTGAGCCACTGTGTCCGGCTCACAGATAGCTTTTTAATCAGTGATGTACACTTGGTCAATGTTAGCCTCCTGGACCATGTATCAAAATTTTTTTTCTTTTTTGAGTCAAGAGTTTCACTCTCTAGCCAGGCTGGAGTGCAGTGGCCTGATCTCGGCTCACTGCAACTCTGCCTCCCGGATTCAAGCGATTCTCCTGCCTCAGCCTCCTGAGTAGCTGGGACCACAGGCATGTGCCACCATGCCCGGCTAATGTTTTGTATTTTAGTAGAGATGGGGTTTCACCATGTTGGCCAAGATGGTCTCGATCTCCTGACCTCGTGATCTGCCTGCCTCGGCCTCCCAAAGTGCTGGGATTACAGGTATGAGCCACCGCGCCCGGCCAATGTATCTAAATATTTAGAAGTTGCAAACTGCTTAATAATTTTTTACCCTCTACCTTGTCAAATATATTGTCATTAACAAATGTAGGCTGGGCGCAGTGGCTCACGCCTGTAATCCCAGCACTTTGGGAGGCCGAGGCGGGCGGATCACGAGGTCAGGAGGTCAAGACCATCCCAGCTAACACGGTGAAACCCCGTCTCTACTAAAAAATACAAAAAAAATTAGCCGGGTGCGGTGGTGGGCGCCTGTAGTCCCAGCTACTCGGGAGGCTGAGGCAGGAGAATGGTGGGACTTCCAGCCCACACTTCTGATATGAGTTTATGCCAATGGCAATTGCTTTTCTAATTAGCATATTTTCTCATCCTATGATTTTCTTAATAACATTTTCTTTTCTCTAGCTTACTGTATTACAAGAATATAGTATATAATGCATATATAAAATATGTGTTAATTGACTGTTTATGTTATTGTTAGGGCTTCCAGTCAACAGCAAGCTATTAGGAGTTAAATTTGTGGGGAGTCAAAAGTTTTACATGGACTTTCAACTGCATGAGCAGTTGGTGCTCCTAACTTCTGCATTGTTCAAGGGTCAGCTGTAAATGTTAAAAAGTGAAAAATCAAAATTATTTTTCACACGTTTTCCAATTTTTTTCTAAAAATACAAAATTTTCAGAAGCAAAAGGTAAAATACAAGTTATAATTAAAATGTCTAAAGATTTAAAAATAAAAATAATTTAGGCTGGGTGTGGTGGCTCACGCCTGTAATCCCAGCACTTTGGGAGGCCAAGGAGGGTGGATTACCTGAGGTCAGGAGTTCGAGACCAGCCTGGCCAACATGGTGAAACCCCCTTTCTACTAAAAATACAAAAATTAGCCAGCCATGGTGGCATGCACCTGTAGTCCCAACTACTCAGGAGGCTGAGGCATGAGAATCACTTGAACCCAGGGGGCAAGTGCAGTGAGCCAAGATCGTGCCACTGCACTCCAGCCTGGTGACAGAGAGATACTCTGTCTCAAAATAAATAAATAAAATATAAATAAAAATAATTTAAATAGAGACAATATTTTTAATTTCTTTGTTTGGAAATTTAATCGCATCTTACTCAATGTTTTTATAAAGATAAAACTATTTGCCATTCTAGCATTCTATGTTCATCCAGTTGCCAATATTAAAGAATTAGTATCACTGAATTAGTATCACGGTATTTATACTCCTACAAATACATATTTGTAAATTTAGAGTAATATGAGTTGTTTAATATTGTAGAATTTTTCTCGGCTGTCATGTGCAACATTTGGAAAACTATGCTAATTTATGAGTAGCTTTGGAATCACTAATTGGAACACAGAGAGAAGCAAGAAATGATGCTTTGTTATGCAAGAAGCTATGGCATTTATGCAGCCTGAGAGGGAGTTTTTGACAAATAATTTGGAATTTTACCTTAACTTAAAGCTTCTGCTTTTCAAGTCTTCTCAGCACTTTGAAGGAGGGTCTGTTGCAGATGTTGGCAGTGGTAAAATTCGCAGATGTTGATGGTGCTGAGATGCAGTTGTCCTATGAGGGAATAAGGCAGGATAATGGGGAAACACATCCCTGGGGCCTGAGTGAGGTCAGTCTGAATGCTGTGTGAGGCTGTCTAATATGTGGGCTAGGCAGAACCCTCTAGCTAGGACTTCCAGCTCACACTTCTGAGTCTGGTTCTCCAAGGCTGTGATATGAGTTTATGCCAATGGCAATTGCTTTTCTAATTAGCATAGTGAATGTTGGAGATGGTGTTCTATTGCTGAAATCAGTGGCTTGTTGTTGGTTGATGGATTCTAGAAATGGGCTCCTGGTGAAATTGTAGGTACTCAGCATTTCTGTGTTGGTTGGAATATTTTAAAGACTTCCTAACTTACATGAACAGAGAGTAAGAATGTAGTGAGTTTATAGCCTATACACGTGGGAGGGGTTCCTGAGGCTTGATTCTGAAGGGGCCCAAAATATGCTACACCAACATATGCTACTTTGGTATATTGATGATCTTGAGCTGAAGACAAGTGAGAAACAGCAGACACAGGAAGAGCTCTCTGCCCTCCCCATATCTGCCTAAAAGCATGGCATAACTTTCTCAAGAGAAAGTGCTTTCCTTGTACCAGAAAAAGGAGCACAACTCTTATCATCAGCAATGGAGAATTGACAACAAGACAAAGCTACATAAACATGCCTTACTAAAATAATCTTTTTCTTCCATTAGCTTCCTCTATATATTTCCTAGTCACTTTCCCACAACTTATCATCCCCAGTAGCCCAAACCCCTTTTCCTTTGTCTAGTCACTTCTCCACAATTTATCACCCTTTGCTAGAATGGTATATATGACCCTGTGTGTAAATGCTTCTTTGGATTTCTACTTTTCTGTGAAACCCCTGTGCATGTAACCATAACATCAGTAAAAATTGTGTCTTTTCTTCTGTTAACCTGTCTTTTGTCAATTTAACTCATAGGCCCCAGTCACTGAACCAAAGATGATAGAGGGAAAAATTTTTTCTCCTACATGACTTTTTCTTAATTAAAAATTTTAATTTTAATGGCCCAAATAAATTGTTTTAAACTTATAGTCATCATTCTTTTTTTTTCTTTTTTTTTTTTTTTGAGACGGAGTTTCACTTTTGTTGTCCAGGCTGGAGTGCAATGGCGCGATCTTGGCTCACCGCAACCTCTGCCTCCCAGGTTCAAGCGATTCTCCTGCCTCAGCCTCCTGAGTAGCTGGGATTGCAGGCATGCGCCACCACGCCCGGCTAATTTTTGTATTATTAGTAGAGATGGGGTTTCACTGTGTTGGCCAGGCTGGTCTCAATCTCCTGACCTCGTGATCCACCCACCTCAGCCTCCCAAAGTGCTGGGATTACAGGCATGAGCCACCACGCCCTGCCACTTATAGTCATTATTCTATGGAGAATTCCATGTGTAAAATTTTATAAAGATGGATTAGACATGTGATGACCTCCAGTGACTAACAGGGAGTCTGCGGAACCCACAGCATTAGCTAGCAGGCAGTGATTGAAATTTTCAAAGGCTTTGGCAATGAGAGTCAAGTGGACAGTAATCCATGGCTGTTGTGCATTTTAGTGTATCTGGAGCTTGATATCCTGCACTGTTTTTAAGCATTCCAGTATTGACGAAGATTCTACTTTACCATGGCCTAGGCAACCAATGGCACTGACAATTGATGGCACTGTGCCAAAAGCTTGCAATGCTGCCTGGGGGTAATTTTCACTCCCAGTGCTGTAGGCTCACTTGCTGGGCCTCCAGCTCCTGCAGCAATGGGACTGTTCATAAGTCTTGTTCATGTGAGCATCCCTAAGCCCTAGCCCAGTGCTTGGCACACAACAGGCACCCAGTTAGGATTTTTAATGTTGCAATTCAGCAAATTGGACTTTTACTCCCTTCCACCAAGCAGCTCTCTCACACCTGCCTGCTTTTCTCTTAAGGGAGCAAACTCCACCCTGCCTCCCTCACTCCCACTCCCACTGCCGCCCCATTGCCCTAGTTCTCTCCAAGACCCTTGGGACAGATCCCATTCAAACTACTTACTTTTATCTACTCCCCAATAGTTAAAACTTCCACCTTCTGGGTGGAGCTGAATTTAGCTAGGAAGATAGCAACCTGATAAAAAATAAGTCACTCTAAAGCTTTACCCTTCTGTGGAAGTCTTTGCATTTTAAAAGGTAAGAGGGATTTTGAGCCTGAGGGACTTCCTCCTGCACTCTGTTTACCCCAGGCTGTTGGGATTGTAAATGAATCCACCCAAATCTCCAGCTATACTCAAGGCATGGTACAGCATGGACAGCACCTGGGAGCTTGTTAGAAGTGCAGGGTCCACCTCAGGCTACTGGAGCCCACATTACTGGTTGAGAACCTCTATTTACCTTCAAGTTTGAGACCACTGAGTCTCCATCCTGTCTTCCCAGGGACGTATAAGGATGCACTCCTACAGATGAAAACAGTGGGTGTCTTGGTTCCTCATTTGGGAGAACTTTAGGATCCTTGCTTGCCCTAGGGTTATATACTTTATCAGTAGTTTTCAATTTTTTTTTTTTCTTTAGACAGTGTCTTGCTCTGTCATTCAGGCTGGAGTGCACTTGTGTGCATATAGCTTGCTGTAACCTGGAACTCCTAGGCTCAAGCCATCCTCCCACGTGAGCCTCTGGGGTAGCTGGGACTACATGTGTGCCACCACCTTGCTAGTTTTAATTTTTTTTTGTAGAGGTGGAGCCTTGCTATTGTTACCAGAAAGGCGTCCAGATCCAGACTGCAACAGAGGGTTTATGGATCTTGTGCAAGAAAGAATTTGGGGCGAGCCCATGCAGTAAAGTGAAAGCAAGTTTATTAGAGAAGTAGAGAAACAAAAGAATGGCTACTCCACAGACAGAGCAGTGGTATGGGTTGCTCAACTGAGTATAGTTATGGTTATTTCTTGATTATATGCTAAACAATAGGTGGATTAATAATGAGATTTCTGGGAAAGGGGTGGGCAAGTCCTGGAACTAAGGGTTCCTCCCTCTTTTAAACCATATAGGGTAATTTCCAGACATTGCCATGGCATTTGTAAACTGTCTTGGTGTTGGTGGGAGTGTCTTTTAGCATGCTAATGCATTATAGTTAGCACATAATGAGCAGTGAGGACAACCAGAGATCACTTTTGTTGCCATTTTTGTTTTGGTGGGGTTGGCGATTTTCTTTACTGCACCTTTTTTTTATCATCAGGATCTTAACAAAATTTAGATTTTTAAAATTAAAAAAAAAAATTTAAAACGAGCTGAGTGTTTTGAAATTTTTTTTAAATTAAAAAAAGATGTAAACTCCTGGGCTCAAGTCTGAGCAACAGAGCAAGACCCTCTAATAAACTCGGTATCCTGTGATACCAGTCCTGATGACCTCCTATCTCATCCTGTGACTAAGAATGCCTACCCTCCTGTAAATGCAGCCCACTAGGTCTCAGCCTTATTTTACGCAGTCCCATTCGACATAGGGTCACTGAATGGCTCTGACGCTATATTTCCTAGGCTGGTCTTGAACTCCTGGCCTAAAGTGAGCCTCCCACCTTGGCCTCCCAAAGTGCTGGGATTACAGGCGTGAACCACTGCACCTGGCCTCGAAATTTCAAATTTTTACTGTGCACTAGCCTCATTAGAGGGCACTAGTTAAAAATGTAGATTCCTCTGAGAGTCTGACTCACTAGGTCTGGGATAAGGCCCAGGAATTTGCATTTGTAACAGGGGACTTAGGTGACTTCCTAGGAAGGTGGTACTAGTTTCACACTCTGAGGAATCTAGTCCTTCATCTGGTCCAGCCAGGCAGAGTGATTCACGAGGACTGCAGAGTATGCCACACTGAAGCCTGCCTGAGGAAATGCTGGGACTAGCCTGGAGCTTCCCTTGAAAGCCCTAAATTTATAGTCTAAAGTCCTTGTTATTTACAGACTGGATCTTCTGCCTGTTGTCAGCTAAGGAAATATGAGAACTTCACATTTCAGGGTTGGTTTAAGGCAAGTAATTGGAAGTTATGTTTACCACCTGGGTATCTGTTTTACTCTCTGCAAAAGAAATGCGATTTTTCCCCTACCGCCTGGCCTCTGTTTCTCCGTGGCTTTCCCTCCTGCCCCTGGGACCCACCCTTGGGCTGTTCACACTTTTGGGAGCCTGGGGAATGGCTTCTGACTACAGCAGGTGAAAGCTTTGCAGGTGGTTGATAGGGAAGGAGATGGAATTGCATCACTTTCTTGGTCTCTTCTGAGTTATTACGGAAAATGAAATCGTTGGCTGTGGGGAATTAATTGAATATGATGAGCCCAGAACTGCTAAGAAAATACCTGTCCTGAGATTTTCTGGAAAGGAATGCTGTAGATTGCATTTCCAATTTGCCATTCTTTCCCTAGGGTTTTGGCCGGTAGGACTGCTGAGACAAAGGGTAAATGTGGTGACACATTAGATGACGCTAGCATACATATATTTGCAGAGAGCACAGATAGACAACACGTGCCATTTGTTGGCTGTTCCTGAGTGTGTTTAAATGAAGAATCAACGTGTCAGGATTGTTCACGCTGCAATTCTGAAGACTGTGATTGTTTCTTAGGCTTTGGGTGTCTTTCATAAAAAGACTGTTGAATATTCCAGAATGTGTGTTCTATTAGGAATGTGATAATTGCAACCATGTGTGATGTGGCAGTTCTATCACCTGATGAGAGGACCTGGGAGAACAAAGACAGCTAGGAAGTTCATGTGTATTTGTTGTACAAATTAATACAAACTAATTGTATTAATTGTTGCTTACTAATTAAGCAAATTCCTAACATTCTGTCTCACCCAACACTGGGCTGAGATGTAGTCATCTGTGCCTCTTGATGTTTGTCCTGTGTGTCTTTTTCTCAGCGAGAAAGGCAGTTAACTGTTTTATGAAAATGCCTAAAATGGTCACATTTTAGATGTCCTCATACAGCAGGGGAAATCTCATTTGTTTGAACACCTCTGGCCAGTCCTTCCTTGTAAGCCCCAAATGGTGCCTTGGCCTTCCCCTTGATGGATTCATTGTGTTGATTTAAGCCAATGTGGCAGAAAATCTGATGTCATCTGCAGCTGCTACACTGAGATTCAAAGAAGCAGCCATTAACCCTTACAAAGATCCACATGACGGCACTATGGCCTTTCCAATATTCTGTCTGTCAATAACCATCGTGTGAGTCAGATTTCTGTATTGTCTTTAAAATTTATTGGGCATTGGCAAAGGAGCTTTTAGCTCTTGCATACGTTTAATAAATACACATTTACTGAAGCCCTGCAATGTGCCAGGCAAGTATGTAAACTCAGCTATGTCTGTAGTCTCCCTCAGCTCTAGGTGCCTTAGGAATCCCCCAGGCTTTAGGAAACCTTGGTCCATGAGCGCGGGGGAAGGAATTTCACTTCTAGGAAAGGCATTGGGAACCCTTGATGTTGCCCCTGCCGCGAAGCTCTCTTTCACACTCCCGGCCGAAAGCCCTCAGAAGATGCGAGGAGGAGGATTTTGGCATGGACAGTGATGCCATAGGGCAGTTGCTGTGGTAACAGGAGTCTCTCATGCTGTTGGAGTAGTGTCTGGGAGTCCTTAGGACTATTTTTTTTTTTTTTTTGAGACGGAGTCTCCTGTAGCCTAGGCTGGAGTGTAGTGGCGCGATCTCAGTTCACTGCAAACTCTGCCTCCTGGGTTCACACCATTCTCCTGCCTCAGCCTCCCGAGTAGCTGGGACTACAGGTGCCCGCCACCATGCCCAGCTAATTTTTTGTATTTTTTAGTAGAGACGGGGTTTCACCATGTTAGCCAGGATGGTCTCGATCTCCTGACCTTGTGATCCACCTGCCTCGGCCTCCCAAATTTTTTTTTTTTTTTTTTTTTTTTGAGATGAAGTCTCGTTCTGTCGCCCAGGCTGGAGTGCAGTGGCACGATCTCGGCTCACTGCAAGCTCCACCTCCCGGGTTCACGCCATTCTCCTGCCTCAGCCTCCCGAGTAGCTGGGACTACAGGTGCCCGCCACCACGCCTGGCTAATTTTTTGTATTACTAGTAGAGACGGGGTTTCACCGTGTTAGCCAGGATGGTCTCGATCTCCTGACCTTGTGATCTGCCCGCCTTGGCCTCTCAAAGTGCTGGGATTACAGGTGTGAGCCACCACGCCCGGCCAGGACTCATTTTTAGAGGTCAGGAGGAGGCCCCCAAGCCTGATCTCTTATACTGAAGTTTTTGGATACCCTCAATGGCTACTTTTTTTTTTTTTTCATACGAAAGACAATTCTGAAATTTATTTCTATTTTAGGAATTAACATTTTATTGGATGGGTGTGGTGGCTCTTGCCTGTAATCCCAGCACTTTGGGAGGCCAAGGTGGGAAGATCACTTGAGCCCAGGAGTTTGAGACCAACCTGGGCGACACAGAAGACCTTGTCTCTAAAAAAAAAAAAATTAAATTAAAAAAAAAATTAGGTGGAGTATTTCAGTTTTTTTTTTTTTTTTTTTTTTTGAGACGGAGTCTTGCTCTGTGATATAAGTTTTAATTTTAATTTTAATTTTAATTTTCTCTGGATAATGAAATTTCAGGGAAGGGGTTGAAGGCAATTGTGTTTCTCTTTGGGGGTCTAGTTTCTAGGTAGATAAGGGAACTTCAGAGAAAAGCTTCCTTCTGTGTTTTGAGAGAGGCAGAGTATTGAGGAACAGGGCTGAGGGAGGTCAGAGAGACCTTGAGGCTGTTTGTTTAGTTCTCCAGGTCAAAGCACCCTATTTTGGGGTACTGTTTCCTGAGCCCCAACATATTTGACTGATAACTGATGATTTGGACACAACTTTTCATGTACAAATACATCTCGATTACAAATGGAATAATATCAAGCATATAAATGCACATTTTTAACCTACTGCCTGGCGCCCAGGATGTCCAGCCAATGGTGCTTATTATTATTGGAGATTTTTGAAGGGATCCTCAAACCATTAAGAAGATAGGACCCCATCCGGTGGTTGGCCAGGTGCGGTGGCTCATGCCTGTAATCCCAGCACTTTGGGAGGCCGAGGCGGGCAGATCACGAGGTCAGGAGATCGAGAGCATCCTGGCTAACACGGTGAAACCCCATCTCTACTAAAAATACAAAAAAATTAGTTGGACATGGTGGCAGGCAAATGTATTCCCAGCTACTTGGGAGGCTGAGGCAGGAGAATGGTGTGAACCTGGAGGCGGAGCTTGCAATGAGCCGAGATCGTGCCACTGCACTCCAGCCTGGGCTACAGAGTGAGACACCATCTCACATACACAAAAAAAGAAGATCCAGTGGTGGGAAGCTGAATTCGGCAGATCACTTGAGGTCAGGAGTTCAAGACCAGCCTGGCCAACATGGCAAAACCCCGTATCTACTAAAAATACAAAAAGATTAGCTGGGCGGTACCTGTAGTCCCAGCTACTCAGGAGGCTGAGGCAGGTGAACTGCTTGAACCCAGGAGGCGGAGGTTGCAGTGAGCCAAGATAGCGCTGCTGCATTCCAGCCTGGGCGACAGAGCGAGACTCTGTCTCAAAGAAAAAACAAAACAAAACAAAAACAAAAGGTCCAGCGGTTACACTAGGTCTTTGACAAATACTGAAAACTAGACAAGCTATAAAAAAAGAAAAGATATCCCCTGAATGGTAGGTGTGAGAACTCGACAAGAAAGAGGGAATGGATAAAAGGGAGAAAATAGGCAGAAAATCACCTATAACTATATAGAGATATTTATATTTAGTAAAATATTTTCAGCTTCAGCTTACACACACAAAAAACCAGTGAAGCATCCGGTTGAATACAAGAATATGTCACTGCAGGGAGACGGTGCTTCACAGAGAGATTTTCTTCATAAAGAAATAGAGCCTCACCTATTCAAAAGCCGTTCCATTTAATGCAACACTGCATTGAACAGGGTTCCTTTTCAAGGGGTTCCTATTAGAAGCAAGATTATTATCTTCAGCATTTAGATGGCGTGCTGACTGGGGCCATAACACCAGGGCACTTAGGCGCTCCCATTATCAATGGACAGTATAATCTTTGGAAGTTTAAAATAGCTTTCATGGCCGGGAGCGGTGGCTCACGCGTGTAATCCCAGCACTTTGGGAGGCCGAGGTGGGCGGATCACCTGAGGTCAGGAGTAACCTCACCTCTAGGTGCAGAGAAGGACAGAAGAATGGAACACTTTGCTTCAGTTTTTTGTTGTTGTTGTTATTAGGCATTTATCCAAGAGCTCCCTTTTCGAAAGGTTTGAGTCACTCATTAGAAAAAACTTTCTAATAGAACAGTCCAAAGACATAAACAGGCCAGGCACGGTAGCTCACACTTGTAATCCCAGCACTTTGGGAGGCCGAGGTGGGTGGATCACTTGGGGTCAGAGTTTGAGACCAGCCTGGCCAACATGGTGAAACTCTGTCTCTCCTAAAAATACAAAAATTAGCTGGGTGTGGTGTCACGCACCTGTAATCCCAGCTACTCAGGAGGCTGAGGCGGGAGAATCGCTTGAACACAGGAGGCGGAGGTTCCAGTGAGCTGAGATCGTGCCACTGCACTCCAGCCTCGGCAACAGGGTGAGACTCTTGTCTCAAAAAAAGGTAGTCTAGAGTAGTCCCAGCTACTCTAGAGATTGAGGTAGGGGGATCACTGTAGAGACTGAGGATGCTTTATGAGGTGCTGAGTTTCTAAGTGCTTCGACATATTTGAATAGATTCTGGGGGACACTGGCTGGGCCGGCTATAGATGATATTCAAACAAAAGGATCTTCCAAAGGCAACAGTGAGCAAAAGAGAGAAAAAGCCAAGAGTAAGGGAAAGCTAGGACGTGGTTTGTTCCTGGAGGCATGAGCAGAGGAGAGTGGAGTCACCCCGTGATGGTAGAGCCCTGGGGGCAGTAAGTGCCTTCTCCCAGGAGGGCAGCCACCAGTGTGGCTGCTGAGCCAACAGCACTGCTGTATGCTCCAGACAGGGCCTGCTGTCTGTGGCTGTCCAGCCCTATGCTGCCCACATGATAACACCAGGCACATGTGGCTGCTTCCATTTAAAATAATTAAAATGATGGTCGGGCAGTAGTGGCGTGAGCCTGTAATCCCAGCTACTCGGGAGGCCGGGGTAGGAGAATCACTTGAGCCTCGCAGGCGGAGGTTGCGGTGAGCCGAGATCACACCACTGCACTCCAGTCTTGGCAAGAGTGAGACTCTGTCTCAAAAAAATAAAATAAATAGAAATAAAATAAAATAATTAAAATGAAACGAAAAATGCAACACCTCCATCACATTTGCCACATTTTAAGTGCTCAGTGCCTGGTGAGTGGCCCCAGAATTGAAGATTGCCAAGAACATGTTTGTCCTCACAGAAAGTTCTGTTGGACAGCAAAGATTTATACGGTTTCTTGTGCTCATCACTTCCCCATGTATCCTTACCTGAGATAACTGGAACTCGCCCCTATTCTATACCTTCAGAGTCTCTCTAATACAGTGACTTAAGGTCTCTTTAAATCTCACCTACTATGGAGAGTGTAGATGTGTGTGCTATGAGGTGTTCTGGCTAAGACTGGGCCCCAAGGCAGTTCCCCCACTATTTGTTTATTTAAAATACACATAACATAAAATTTACTTTTTTTTTTTTTTTTTTTTTTTTTTTTTGAGATGGAGACTCGCTCTGTCACCCAGGCTGGAGTGCAGTGGCGCCATCTCGGCTCACTGCAACCTCCGCCTCCATGGTTCCAGTGATTCTCCTGCCTCAGCCTCTCGAGTAGCTGGGACAACAGGCGCCCACCAGCACACCCGGCTAATTTTTTTTATTTTTTATTTTTAGTAGAGACGCAGTTTCACCATGTTAGCCAGAATGCTAGATCTCCTGACCTCATGATCTGCCTGTCTTGGCCTCCCAATGTGCTGTGATTACAGGCGTGAGCCACCATGCCCAGCCCAGGATTTCTTTTTTTGATATTCCATTGTATGGATGTAGCTTAGTTTGCTAATCTATTCATCTGTTCATGGACACGTGGGGTGCTTCTACCTCTTGGCCAATGTGAATAATACTTTTTTTTTTTTTTTTCTGGATACAGAGTTTCGCTCTTTTTGCCCAGGCTGGAGTGCAATGGCGTGATCTCAGCTCACTACAACCTCCACCTCCTGGATTCAAGTGATTCTCCTGCCTCAGCCTCCCGAGTAGCTGGGATGACAGGTGCCTACCACCACGTCCAGTAATATAGAATTTTTAGTAAAGATGGGGTTTCACCATGTTGGCCAGGCTGGTCTCAAACTCCTGACCTCAGGTGATCTGCCCACCTCGGCCTCCCAAAGTGCTGGGATTACAGGAATGAGGCACCGCGGCTGGCCCATTGTGAATAATTCTGCTAGTTACATGAGTGTAGAAATATCTCTTTGAGTCTCTGCTTTAAATTCCTTTGGGTATACTGTATACCCAGGAGTGAAATTGCTGGATCAGATGGTAATTCTGTGTCTAATTTTTTTGAAGAACCATCATACGATTTTCCATAGCAGCTATTCCACCCTACATTCCTACCAGCAATGCATAAGGGTTCCAGTTTCTCCACATCCTTATCAACACTCATGTTTTGGTTTTTGTTGAAGGTAGATCTCCTAATGGGTATGAGGTGTTATCTCATTGTGGTTTCAATTCGCATTTCCCTAATGATTAATGATGTTGAACATCTTTTCATGTGCTTATCGGCCAAGGTTTACTTTGTGAAACATCAATGGCTAAAAGTAGGGGGGAAATGCCATTTAAAAAGTTTAACTACAGCTGGGTGCAGTGGCTCATGTCTGTAATCCCAGTGCTTTGGGAGGTGGAGGCAGGAGGATTGCTTGAGGCCAGGAGTTTGAGACCAGCCTAGGCAACAAAGTATTTTATGGCAAAGTATTTTAATGGTGAAAACCACAATTATTTTTGCACCAACCTAAATAAGACCCTGTGTCTTAAGAAATACAAAAATTAGCTGGGTGTGGTGGGGTGTGCCTGTAGTCACTGCTACTCTAGAGACTGAGGCAGGGGAATCACTTGAGCCCAGGAGTTCGAGGCTGCAGTGAGCCATGATTGTACCACTGCACTCCAGCCTGGGTAACAGAGTGATACATTGTCTCTGAATAACAACAACGACAGCAACGACAACAGCAAAAGAAGTTTAACTAGTTGTTTTGATGTCTTTGTGTTATTTTGTTTCTATTTCTCTGGTGTAGGGGCTTTGTTTCACCTTGAGGACAGACTGTTTTACAGAAAATAACTGTAAGGGCCTTTAGTTAAACAATGGTGAAGCAATGATCCTTTTCAGAAGTGGAGAAGTTTGAGACACCAAGAACTAATGACCTTAAAGTTTGTCTTATTTCAAGTTTCTGCAGATGTGTTTTTCTGGAAAAAGCTTTCCTTAATCTTCAGGAGGTTGGGCTTGGACATTCTGGTGGGGAAAGAGAACTGATCCTCGCCAGGCATGGTGGCTCATGCCTGTAGTCCCAGTTCTTTGGGAGGCCGAGAGGGGCGGATCACATGAGGTCAGGAGTTTGAGACCAGCCTGACCAACATGGAAAAACCCTGTCTCTACTAAAAATACAAAATTAGCTGGGTGTGGTGGTGCATGCCTGTAATCCCTGCTACTCAGGAGGCTGAGGCAGGAGAATCACTTGAACCCGGGAGGCAGAGGTTGTGGTGAGCCGAGATTGCGCCATTTCACTCCAGCCTGGGCAACAAGAGTGAAACTCTGTCTCAAAAAAAAAAAAAAAAAAAAAAATTAGTTGGGTTGTGGTGGCACGTGCCTATAATCCCAGCCACTTGAGAGGCTGAGGTGGGAGGACCGCTGAGGCAGAGGTTGTAGTGAGCTGAGATTGTGCCACTGCACTCCAGCCTATGCAACAGAGGGAGACCCTGTCACAAAAAAAAAAAAAAAAAAAAAAAAAAACGCTTAAGAACCTCTTTTAAAGAAATTAAGTCAAAACTGAATTGGTCAACTTTTCAAATTCTCAAAATCAGTTTTTAAGGTAATTTTATCTTATTCAAATTGAATAAAGATATAATTTAAAACAGATGCCATCAAAAGGAGAGAATCAAAAGCTCCAAAATAAGCAGGAATGGTTGTATTCATCAGTTAGCTTAAAGGATCAAGAGAAGATGGTTGTAAAATCAGGTTTTTGTTTTAGGCTCCTAATTTAGGAATAATTGCTTAAGCCACGTCCCTTGCTTTAGACTTTTAATGCTATTTCCCTCTCTCATTTCCCCTTTCCTCCTCCTCGGTATGCCTTTTGTGGAAAGCACCTTCTCTGAATAGCCATCAGGACAAGCGTCAGCTATCAAAAGCAGATGTTTCCAATTTTCAACCTACCTTGTTTGGGAAACCTTGTGTTGAAGAATGTTACTTTTTTTTTTTTTTTTTTAATTTTTGGGTTTTTTTTTTTAATAGAGACCAGATCTCACTATGTTGCGATGGCTGGTCTCAAACTCCTGGACTCAAGTAATCCTCCCGCCTATGGCCTAGAAAGTGCTGGGATTACAGGTGTGAGCCACCACACCTGGCCTGAATGTTATCTAACCAGTGTCTCACTGATAGGCATACACTGGGCTGTTCCAACATCATACCACCCCTCCCTGTCCCCACCAACCGGACCTAATTCAAACATCAGGATAACTAATCAATCAATTCAAATCAAAGCGCTTATCTGCTCTAAAATTTCAGCTTCTCTGCTGTACCTTGAGTTGGCTTCAGTTTGAGTGCTAAAATATATGTATATGCATATGTGTAATTTACATCAGGAAAAAATCAACTGATCAAAAAAGATCCCAAAAATGTACTAAAAATAGAATAAAAGCAATACCTTTTTACTACTGTCCCTCTATTTCAGTTTCTGGATATAAAAGTTGTATTAAGATTAAATTTTTGGCCAGGCATGGTGGCTCATGCCTGTAACCCCAGCACTTTGGGAGGCCGAGGCAGGCAGATCACTTGAGGTCGGCAGTAGTGAGACCAGCCTGACCAACATGGAGAAACTCTGTCTCTACTAAAAATACAAAATTAGCCAGGCGTGGTGGTGCATGCCTGTAATCTCAGCTACTGGGGAGGCTGAGACAGGAAAACCATTTGAATCCGGGAGGCAGAGGTTCCAGTGAGCCAATATCACGCGATTGCACTCCAGCCTGGGCAACAAGAATAAGACTCCATCGCCCCACCAAAAAAATTAAATTTTTTTCTCATAAATGAAGATAAGCTCCTCTATATTCAATAAGACACTAATTCCTAATTTCCAAATACACAGAAATTGATAGCCATGTTTACAAGTATTACATGAGTAAATTAAACCATAACAGTATAAAATAATGCAAAAGTCATCTCTATTTGACTTAAGGATCTATATGTTATTTGTATCAATGTATTATATGAGTTATTTGGGGATGGGAGAAGAACTGACCTTTTATGAACACACATCAACCCAAGGCCAGGGAAGACAGCCTAGGAGCATGCTAGATTTAAGGAAAGCCAGCCAAAATGCATCCTCCCAGACCTACCCACCCGTCTAGCTTTGGGGTGGCTCTCAGAATTGCCCCCTCTTCATGCCTTCAGTATCCTCATGGTCCATTCCCATCACCCCACACCTGAACCTCAACATCAGACTCATAACTGGTCTCACCACTACATCCCTCCCCAAAGCCATCCTTCCCAGAGGGAGTAGCACTTTATACATCCAGGATGCCAGGGCCTTGCAAAGATGGAGAGAAGTCCAGGCCACTTACATTTTTTGAGGCTTCCAATATGTTATCAAAGAAGAAGGAGGAGGAGGAAGAAGAAAAACAAAGGCCAAGGCGCCCATCCTGGCCAACATGGTGAAACCCCATGTCTACTAAAAGTACAAAAAAATTACCGGGGTGGTGGCACGTGCCTGTAATCCCAGCTACTCGAGAGGCTGAGGCAGGAGAATCGTTTGAACCTGGGAGGCAGGGATTGCAGTGAGCAGAAATCGTGCCACTGCACTCCAGCCTGGTGACAGAGCGAGACTCTGTCTCAAAAAACAAAACAAAACAACAAAAAAAACGCAAACAAAAAAAAGAAAGGCCAAGGCGGGCAGATCATCTGTGGTCAGGAGTTCGAGACCAGCCTAGCCAACATGATGAAACCCCGTCTCTGCTAAAAAAAATACAAAAATTAGCTGGGCATGGTGGTGCATGCCTGTAATCCCAGCTACCTGAGAGGTTGAGGTGAGAGAATCGTTTGAACCTAGAAGAAGGAGGTTGCAGTGAGCTGAGACCCAGCCACTGCACTCCAGCCTGGGTAACAGAGCAAGACTCCATCTCAAAACAAAACAAAACAAAAAAAAACAAAAAAAAAAAAAACAAAAAAAACCACAATGCAATCTCCTGTGAAAGTCAGGAAAGTGAAATTCCTCTGGTTAAAGGCTTGCTGAGCTTCCTCCTTTGAGGTCCTCAGGAAACACCTCAGAACGCCAGGACTGAGAGGCAGACAGATTGAAAAAGGTTGATCTGATTTAGTCCCTGTACTTACAGATGAGAGAACCCAGGCTCAGACCAAAATAAGACTTACAAATGCATTCAGTCTTTACCAAAGCACTTATAATGCCATTAATAGTAATAATAAAAAATAACAGTAATATTACAGTTATAATATTAATATAATATATAAATATAATATATAATAATATAATAAAATGTAAAAGCCCCTCTTTAGAGCCTCTTCTTTTTAACCTCTCTCTCTCACCTTACCTGTGCCTCTCTGCCCCTCCCTGCTCTCTCCACTTCTCTAATAGGATCTCAGAGAACATGCTACCACACAGAATCAAAACACAGAGTGGGTAGACTTCAAGCCAGTCAAGTGACTGCCATACCCACCATGAGGACTCCCAACCCCCTGTAACCACCCAATGGGTTCACCTTGCCTGGTGCCTAGATAGAGCCAATTTGTCAAGACAGGTGAATTGCAATAGAGAAAGAGTAATTCACACAGAGCCAGCTGCGCGGAATACCGGAGTTCTATTATTACTCGAATCAGTGTCCCCGAGCATTCCGGGATGAGAGTTTTTAAGGACAACTTGGTGGGTGGGGAGAAGCCAGTGAGCCAGGAGTGCTGATTGGTCAGGTCAGAGATGAAATCACAGGGAACTGAAGCTGTCCTCTTGCGCTGAGTCAGTTCCTGGGTGGGGGCCACAAGATCAGGTGAGCCAGTTTATCCATCTGGGTGGTGCCAGCTGTGCCAGCTGATCCATCAAGTGCAGGGTCTGCAAAATATCTCAAGCACTGATTTTAGGAGCAGTTTAGGGAGGGTCAGAATTTTGTAGCCTCCAGCTGCGTGACTCCTAAGCCATTGTTTCTAATCTTGTGGCTACTTTGTTAGTCCTACAAAGGCAATCTAGTCCCCAGGCAAGAAGGAGGCTTGTTTCGGGAAAGGGCTGTTACCATGTTTGTTTGTTTGTTTTTGATACAGGGTCTCACTGTGCTGCCCAGGCTAGAATGCAGTGGTGCAATCTTGGCTCACTGCAACCTCCACCCCACAAATTCAAGCGATTCTCCTGCCTCAGCCTCCTGAGTAGCTGAGATTACAGGCACACACCACCACGTGCGGCTAATTTTTGTATTTTTAGTAGAGGTGGGGTTTCAGCATATTGGCCAGGCTGGTCTCGAACTCCTGACCTTAAGTAATCCACCCGCCTCGGCCTCCCAAAGTGCTGGGATGCCATGCCCAGCCCATCTTTATTTTAAACTATAAACTAAGTTCCTCCCAAAGTTAGTTCAGCCTACGCCCAGGAATAAACAAGGTTCATTCCTTGTTTATTAGCTTGGAGGGTAGAAGCAAGATGGAGTTGGTTAGGTCAGATCTCTTTCACTGTCTCAGTTACAATTTTGCAATGTCAGTTTTACTGCAAAAGGTGGGCACTAGCAGAGGGGAGAGGCAAGTGACAGAATGCTACAGAGTAGCCAGCCCTGAGGGGCAACCATCTCAGACCTACGTAACAAGGTCACACTTCCTTCTTAAACCCAGATCATCCCAGCACGAGCCCCACTGTGTTGGACTGCAGGAAGTAAGACTTCTACCAGGTTCCCTTCCCCACATCGCAGTGGGGATCCCCAGGGAATGCCCACATGTTCCACAAATCTGTCCCGCTTATCACTAGCCACCTCAGCCACCATCTGTCCCGTCGCCATGGCTCTACCCTCCTTGTTGTCCTGAAACCTGACTCTGTAGGCAGCTGCCATTCCCTTGATTTCACCCCAAGCATGGGCACAAATCCTCCCCTTAACTCCCCTCAGTGGCAGTGAATCTGATTGCAATATTTGCAATGTATGAAAATCAGGGCATGACCCAAGGTAACTGCCACCTCGCCTGACCAAGCATTTTTAAAAACATATTTAAATACCGTGGACGGCCAGGCATGGTGGGTCACGCCTGTAATCCCAGCAATTTGGGAGGCCGAGGTGGGTGGATCACCTGAGGTCAAGAGTTCAAGACCAGCCTGGCCAACATGAAACCCTGTCTCCTAAAAATACAAAAATCAGCCAGGTGTGGTGGCTCACGCCTGCAATCCCAGCCACTTGGGAGGCTGAGGCAGGAGAACCACTTGAACCTGGGAGGCAGAAGTTGCAGTGAGCTGAGATTGCGCCACTGTACTTCAACCTGGGTGACAGAGTGAGACTCTGTCTGAAAAACAAACAAACAAACAAAAAATACCATGGACTCTTTAGAATAATGTCTTCAAGTGTATAAGATAAAACATTTTAAATAACAGAGGAATCTAATTAAATGAAAGTGCATTTAAAAATATTTTTAAAGACCAGATTTGCCATATAGTAGTATATGTGCTTCTCTGTTGGTGCCTGAAACAACAAGACCTCGTGGCAGATCTAATACTTACCATAATTTCAAAGTAGTAGTATGTAGAAATGATATTTTGTGATGTCTATAACAACCGTAGGTGATTTTTATTGATGACAAAAATCACAGTTACTGATCATACTACTGTAGTTTATTGCCTACATTCATAATAGAAGAAAATGCTAAATTTGAATTAGAGGCTAGTGAAAATAAAAACATATTTTCCCCTACTTTTGACTACCTTGAATTCTATCTATGGGCACCTTGACGAGTCTAAAGACCCCAGTTTAAGAACCTTTGCTTTAGAAGATTGCAGATTCTTAAATTTTTAAATGATTGTTTTGGTAAAATATCTCTTTCCTCTGTTGGTATTTCTCTAACTGAAGTTCTAAGCAGAGTGTCCTAAATATACATTGTATTCAATTAAAGATTCCTGTCTTAGTCCATTTTCTGTTGTTTATAAAAGAATATCTGAAACTGAGTAATTTATAAAGAAAAGGAATTCATTTTTATAGTTACGGATGCTGGGAAGTCCAAGGTAAAGGGGCTACATCTGGTGAGGGCCTTCTTGCTATGGGGACTCTGCAGAGTCTGGAGGAGATGCTGGGCATCAGGTGGTGAGGGGGCTGAATGCAATAGGTCTGGTATCTTTTCCTCTTCTTATAAAGCCACCAGTCCCATTCCCATGATCACCCATTAATCCATTAGTCCGTGAGTGGATTAATTTATTTCTCAAGGCAGAGCCCTCATGACCCAATCACCTCTTTTTAAGAAATTTAATTAATTTTATTTTTTATTTGGAGACAGGGTCTCACTCTGTTGCCCAGGCTGAAGGGCAGTAGTACAACCTTGGCTCACTGCAACCTCCACCTTCCGGGTTCAAGCAATCCTCCCATCCCAGCCACCCAAGTAGCTGGGGTTATAGGCGTGTGCCACCATGCCCGGCTAATTTTTGTATTTTTTGGTAGAGACAGGGTTTCACCATGTTGGCCAGACTGGTCTTGAACTCCTGACCTCAAGTGATCCACCCGCCTTGGCCTCCCAAAGTGCTGGGATTACCGGCCAAAGCCATGGCACCCAGCCCCCAATCACTTCTTAAAGGCCTCACCTCTCAATACTGCCACACTGGGGATTAAATTTCCACATGAGTTTTGGAGGGACAAACATTCAAACCATAGCAGTCCCAAACTCCAATTTTTTGTCTCCCCATCACCTTGAGACTTGAAAGCTTTACTCAGCTTTTCAGCTGCTTTTGGTAAGCCCTCTTAGCTTCTTGCTAAACTTCTAAACATAGCTTAGGAATTAACCAACGACTGGAGGGGAAACCAGTGAGGAGCTTCAGGATTCCTTCTCCACATCTCTCTCCTCTCTGGCATTTTGGCCCCACCTCTCAGTTGCCCTGACAGCCACAGCTCCATTTTTTGTTTGCCTAGACCTGAGGGATAGCCAAAAGCTCTGCACTGATTCTTATCCTCTAGCTCAAAACTGCTTGAAAACCAGCAAATGAAGTGTTGGCTCTCTCCAGGAGCTTCCATTCTTTCTGGATCCTGGTGCTTCTGGAGAATTCCATAGCTTCCCAGTGCATCTGAACAGATTATTTTTGTATTTTATCCAGATCTTCCAGTTGTTCAGAACCAAAAGCAAATAAATTCACAATTTAAAAAACCTTTTTTTTTTTTTTGAGATGAAGTCTCGTTCTGTTACCCAGGCTGGAGTGGGGTGGTGCGATATCGGCTCACTGCAACCTCTGCCTCCCGGGTTCAAGCAATTCTCCTGCCTCCGCCTCTCTAGTAGCTGAGATTACAGGTGCACACTACCACACCTGGCTAATTTTTGTATTTTTAGTAGAGATGGGGTTTTACCATGTTAGCCAGGCTGGTCTCGAACTCCTGACTTCTGGTGATCCACCTGCCTCGGCCTCCCAAAGTGCTGGGATTACGGGTGTGAGCCACCGGGCCTGGCCAAAACCACTTTCTTATAAGTTCTCATGTTTGAGCTTCACAAAAACCTCGTGTATCAGAAAGGGTTTGGGTCACTACTCCCACTTGACAGGAGAGATCCTTGACTGGAGGAGGTGGGAAGTCTGAGAAGTGGAGAGGAGAAATCTCATCTGCCTCACAGCAGGGCTGAGACTAGAACCCACGTCTCTTGGTTCCTAGCAAAATAGATACTATTTTTCTTCACACCATCTTGCTTCTCCATGTGTATTTATTTGCAAGGGCTATCAAAACAAAGAACCACAGACTGGTGATTTAAACAACAGGTTTATTTCTTCACAGTTCTTAAGACTAGAAGTCCGAGATCAAATTGTCAGCCTGGTGGGTTTCTTCTGTGGCCTCTCTCCTCAGCTCACAGGTGCCATCTTCTCCCACGTCCTCACATGGTCTTCTCTGTGTGTCAGTCTGAGTGCTAATCTCCTCTTCTCATAAGGACACCAGTCAGATAAGATTAGGGCCGTCCCTGCTGACCTCATTTTAACTTGATTATCTTCTTAAAGACCCTAGCTCCAAATATAGCCACATTGGGAGATACTGGGAGTTAGGGCTTCAACATATGAATTTTGGGAGTAGGGGAGAGACCCACAGTTCAGCCCAGAGCACCACATAAGTGGCTTATGATTGTAATGACCAGTTTTCTTGAAATATCTGTAAATTAAATGTGTAGGCCCCCTCTTTGCTTTAGCATGGAGTTCTCAAAATATGGCACTGGCTCCATGACCATCTGCAGCTTTAGCATCAACAGTAGCACCAGCACAAACTGGTTAGAAATGCAAACTCACTCCCCACCTTAGACCTACTCCATTAGGACCTCCAGGAATGGGTCCAGCAAACCTTTCAGGTGATTCTGATGCTGCCCAAGCAGTTGCGCAAAGGACAGCTCCGAGGCAGAGTTGGTTCAGCTGTAAATTCTGGTCATGCTGTTCCCCAGCCCTTTTCTAAAGGATGACTCTCCTGAGACATCAGGTTATGATTGATGGCCAGATCTGTCAGATAGCAGCATTTAAATCAATGCTAATCTGTCTTGTGGTATCATTTGGCATTCAAATATCACCTACTCATTTGAGGATTTATAAAGGAGGCAACTTTCAGTAGGAAGCTTTCTTATTTGAGAAATGAGATTCTTTGCTAATCTGGGCCTCAGTTTTATTATCTTGAAAATGAGAAATCTGCATTCCTTTTTCAGTGCAGACAGTCTGTGCATTCATAGAAATGATCAGAGCAACTAGTATCCCAGAAGAAACCGTGTTATGATGTTTTGGGGTTCCCTGAATGGTCAGACTAAGCAACCCAAACTGCACCAGGCAGAGTGCCTCAAATTGGAAATTTTTAGAGGCGAGCATGAGGTTTGCACCCAATCATTGCTCTGGTTCTGGCTGAATATATGTAATGGGTGCTTGATAAACATGGGAGGGTTTAGATCAGAATTTGTATATTGCCCCTAAGAGCTCAAACTCCCCCAAACCCAGTACCCGGCTTCACCTACTGGTGAGGGCCCTGGCGGAATTGTGGGGCTCAGTGTCCCTGCCGCCTCACTGCTATGCCCCAGATTCACAGTGAGCAGCACCATTTTTCTTCTACATGAGCTCTTTTTAAAATTTCTCTTTTGGCCGGGCGTGGTGGCTCATGCCTGTAATCACAGCACTTTGGGAGGCCGAGGCGGGTGGATCACGAGGTCAGGAGATCAAGACCAGCCTGACCAACACGGTGAAACCCCATCTCTACTAAAAATACAAAAATTAGCTGGGCATGGTGGTGGGCGCCTGTGATCCCGGCTACTCAGGAGGCTGAGGCAGAATTGCTTGAACACAGGAGGCGGAGGTTGTGGTGAGCCGAGATCGCACCACTGCACTCCAGCCTGAGTGACAGAGTGAGACTGTCTCAAAAGAAAAGAAAAATTCTATTTTGAGACAGGGTCTCATTTGTTGCCCAGGCTAGAGGGTAGTGGCGGCATCATGGCTCACTGCAGCCTTGACCTCCTGGACTCAAGCAATCCTCCCACCTCAGCCCCACCGAGTAGCTGGGACTACAGGTGTGTGCCACCATGCCTGCCTAATTTTTTTAGTTTTTATAGAGACAGGGTCTCACTATGTTGCTGAGGCTGGTCTTGAACTCCTAGGCTCAAGTGATCCTCCCACCTCTGCCTCCCCAAGTGCTGGGATTAGAGGCATGAGCCACCGTGCCCAGTCCTTACACGAGCTCTTTCCATCTCTTTATCATAACCTCACAAAGCAAGCAAGCAAGGTTTTATTGTGTCTATTGTGCTGCATTATAGAAAGCTTGAGAAAGGTAAACACTGGTCCAAATGTACAAACTGGCAGGTGGTGAAGGAGCTAGGAAGAAACCCTCCTTGGCCATTGCCAAGGTACTTCCCCTCCTTCAAATCTTTGTTTTGGGGACTGGAATAAAATGGAGAAAAAACACACGAAACAACCAAACTCCTGAAAAATGAGGCATGCCTTGAAGATTCTGCTGTGGGTGGCCACAGAGCTCTGAGCAACTTCTCTTCCCTGATACAATCAAATTTATTTTTAAACACGCCGAGTTGATTAAAGTGTCAGGTCGGGATGGAGTGGGTGAGTAGGCAGAATAAGACCGGGTTGGTTCCTACATTAATTTTCTCCTTATAGCTGTGGAAAATCCAACTGAAAATTCAACCCACCATGTTTCTGGGGAAATTTAGAAGGCTATTGGTTATTCTTATCAAAGGGAACTGTGACTTGGCCTGCGTGGAAGGAAATCAATAGGAGGCGAGGGCTGTTGTGGGCAAAGCAGCAGGCTGCACGCTAGATTCCTAGAGGCAGGTCCGGCATTGCTGCGTGTCTGTTTGCAGGACTGTAGTCCATTTGCATGCTGTAATGACGTATTGTCTATGCATTCGTGTTCAATTTTTTCTTTTTTTTTGGAGATGGAGTCTTGCTCAGTGCCCCAGGTTGGAGTGCAATGGCATGATCTTGGCTCACTGCAACCTCTGCCTCCCAGGTTCCAGTGATTCTCCTGACTCAGCCTCCCGAATAGCTGGGATTACAGGCACCAGCCATCATGCCAGGCTAATTTTTGTATTTTAGAAGAGATGGGGTTTCACCATGTTGGCCAGGCTGGTCTTGAACTCCTGACCTCAGGTGATCTTCCCGCCTCGGCCTCCCAAAGTGCTTGGGATTACAGGCGTGAGCCACCGTGCCTGGCCCGTGTTCATTTTTTAAAATGACCATAACTGCTATTAACATGTGACCATGCCTCATTAAAATGAATGTGTAATTGGGCCAGGCGTGGTGGCTCATGCCTGTAATTCCAGCACTTTGGGAGGCCGAGGCGGGCGGATCACTTCAGGCCAGGAGTTCAAGGCCAGCCTGGCCAACATGGTAAAACCCTGTCTCCACTAAAAACACAAAAATTACCCAGGTGTAGTGGCACACACCTATAATCCCAGCTACTCAGGAGGCATGAGAATTGCTTGAACCTGGGAGGTGGAGGTTACATTGAGCCAAGATCGCACCACTGCACTTCAGCCTGGGCGATGGAGCAAGACTCTGTCTCCAAAAAAGGAAAAAAGAATGAATGTGTAATTGTGTCTGTCAGTAATGATATTGTTTTAATGGACTATGGGACATTAACTCTATTCCTTTAGATCCTTCACTACCAATTCTCCAGGTAGAATTCAGAGCCCAAGCAGTCATTTCATCTACCTCTTATGTCTGAGTGCAGTTGTGCTTAAGCTATTTGAGAAGATGGTTATTTTACTTATTAACACACATAAACACACATATACACTTCCTCTTAACTCTAAAAAGTCTACAGCCATTCTTGGGCAATTTGCTATAGTGGTTTTACAACTGACCCCCAAAGGTTTGTGCCTAGGTTATTTTTGATGTCTGTAAAGCTCTTCCTTCTCTTTTTTTTTTTTTTTTTTGAGACAGAGTCTCGCTCTGTTGCCAGGCTAGAGTGCAGTGGCGCGATCTTGGCTCACTGCAACCTCCGCCTCCCAGGTTCAAGGGATTCCCCTACCTCAGCCTCTCAAGTAGCTGGGACTACAGGCGTGTGCCACCATGCCTGGCTAACTTTTTGTATTTTTAGTAGAGATGGGGTTTCACCATGTTGGCCAGGGTGGTCTCGATCTCCTGACCTCATGATCCACCCGCCTGGGCCTCCCAAAGTGCTGGGATTACAGGCATGAGCCACCGTACTTGGCTCCTTCTCTCTTTTTTCTCCTCCAGAGCACAGCTATTCTCAACCTTGAAAGTTGACCTTGGGACATCTGGTTCCAGTTCTCTTTCAGGGGTGGTACTCCCCAAGAGGGCATTTGGAAATGTGTGGAAGATTGTTCTGGTTTTTTGTGTGTTTTTGTTTTGTTTTGGATGTCACAATGTCCGAGTGCATGATGGGCATTTCCTAGGCTGAGGCCAGAATTGCTAACAATGCTTGTATTTCAGACTAGTTCAGTCTCATCCGACAAAACATTGGTCTGGTCCAAATGCCAGTAACACCCCTATCAAGAAATACGTCCCTAAGCCTCCCTCTCCCTGGGCTGTAGGACAACATGAGTTTTTTTTTTTTTGTTTTCTTTTTTTTTTTTGAGTTGGAGTCTCACTCTATCACCCAGGCTGGAGTGTGGTGGTGCGATCTTGGCTCATTACAACCTCCGCCTCCCGGGTTCAAGTGATTCTCCTGCCTCAGCCTCCCGAGTAGCTGGGACTACTGGCATGTGCCACCACGCCTGGCTAATTTTTGTATTTTTAGTAGAGACAGGGTTGTGTCATGTTGGCCAGGCTGGTCTCAAACTACTGACCTCAGGTGATCTGCCCGCCTCGGCCTCCCAAAGTGCTGCGATTACAGGTGTGAGCCACCGCACCTGGACCCAAGTTTATAGTTTTTATGTTTGCTGAGGTGACCTCTGAGCGTTCGCATCTCCTACCACTGAAGACTTCCAGTTCCCTCCCTGAAACAACATCTCCTGTCATCAGTGTTTTCTTTGAAACAAAAAACCAAAACACCAGTGTTACTCTCAAAGACAGAAGAACTGTTTCTAGAAAGGATCTTAGTCCATAGTCTCCTTGACGCTATCCCAATATAAATGCAGAACAGACACCTACTTGGAGAAGAAAGAAAAATATGCTTGTTATGTGTTTAAACACAGATGCACTTCAGATGTTGTTGTTGTTGTTATTATTGTACATTGATGGTCTTGCCAGCCATTATGGTCGGAAGTTAAAACACCTGGTTTACATTATTATGACTTGTATTTCAGACTACTTCGCAGGCATTTGGGCAGAGGATGTGTGTATGCTCAGGAAAGTGGTATCTGATCCTTACTGGGGATTTTTTTGACTTTTGTTTCCCTTCTCTCTCTCCTGTTGCATTTCCTTGAAGGCGGCTTCTCTTCACAGCTGCTGTTGCTGCTGGCTGGCATTGGTGTGGTCTTCCCTCACCAAGGAGACACAGAAAGCCAGATGCCTCGTCTTCTCTTAGCCTTTCCTCCCTCCTATGTGCCATTTTACTTAATCCCTTAAAGCAGTTAGTAATTTAGATGGGACAGGATGTGAGCATGTGCAGCAGATGGGGGCTTCCATCTCTGATCTCTTTCTTCTTTCTTTTCTTTCTTCTTTCTTTTCTTTCTTTTCTTTCTTTCTCTCTTTCTTTCTTTTTTTCCCTCCCTTCCTTCCCTCCTTCCTTCCTTCCTCCCTCCCTCCCTCTCTCCCTCTTTCTTTCTCTCTTTCTTTCCTTTCTTTCTTTCTTTCCTTCTTTTCTTTCTTTCTTTCTTTCCTTTCTTTCTGATGGACTCTCGCTCTGTCTCCCAGGCTGAAGTGCAGTGCTGCGATCTCGGCTCACTGCAACCTCTGCCTCCCGGGTTCAAGCGATTCTCATGCCTCAGCCTCCCCAGTAGCTGGGACTACTATGCCTGGCTCATTTTTGTGTTTTTAGTAGAGATGGGGTTTCGCCATGTTGGCCAGGCTGGTGTTGAACTCCTGACCTCAAGTGATCCACCCACCTTCGCCTCCCAAAGTGCCAGGATTGCAGGCATGAGCCACTGTGCCCGGCCTCATGTCCCTGTGCAGCTGCAAAACAAGAGAGCAGGCTCTTGGATGCCCAGGTGACTTCTGGGGGCCGATTGTCCATTTTTCTTGTCTGATCACCCTCCTTTTGTGTAGGACAAAATTTTTGACAGTAGGGGGATTATTCAGCCAATTTAATACCAGCTGGAAAGCTGCAGGGGGTGGCTTGTTTTGAGTAAGATGGAGAAGTTTTATGAGAACCATAGTGTTGGGGGAATATAAAAATTTTGAACATTTGCAATCATCTGTCAGTCTTGTAATCCAGTTTCCCAAGGTTGTGACTGAGGAGGTCTGGGGTGGGTTGACAGACCTGCAGAAGGCTGGAGTCTTCTAGTTGATGAAGAATGACACTGCACTGCTGTTAATAAAGCCTTTGAGTTTCTCTGCCTGCTCCCCAGCCAGGTGAGTGCAGTTTGTTTTATGACTTTCCCAGGGGTGATCATCCTCTGAGGACTGATGCAATCTTGCCTAACTCCCAACAGGGTGATTAATGCCCCAGAAAGCTGAAGTCTTACTTTATGGTGGGTCTATATTTATCATGACTGCCCAGGAGATCTTTGCCTTGGCTTCTCTTCTCCTGATGAAACCTGGATGTCAACTGTCCCCCTCTGCTCTGATTCTATGGCTCCATATCTGAATGTAGAACTTAGAACCTCCTCAGGTTCTTGTTTTGTTTTTTCTCTTTTTTTGAGACAGAGTCTTGCTCTGTCGCCCAGGCTGGAGTGCAGTGGCGTGATCTCGGCTCACTGCAGCCTCTGCCTCCTGGGTTCAAGAGATTCTCAGCCTCCAGAGTAGCTGGGATTACAGGCTCATGCCACCACATCCAGCTGATTTTTGTACTTTTAGTAGAGATGCGGTTTCACCACGTTGGCCAGGCTGGTCTTGAACTCCTGACGTCAGGTGATCCACTCACCTCGGCCTCCCAAAGTGCTGGCGTGTGCCAACACGCCCAGCCTCTCCACAGCTTCTTTAAAAGAGCAGCAGATGCTTTAGTGAATGTGCTGTGTAGGGGAGATAGAGAAGGGGACTGAAATCAAATCTCAACAGCAAACAACCTAAAATGCATTCGATATTTCTGTTCTCTTCAAAGCCCCTTCCATTCCACTCAGTGCCTAATCTCTTTGCCTGTTCTTTTCCTTCCCTCTGCCCTGCACCCGCTTCCTGACTTTCCTGTAAGTTGTTTTTTTTTTTGTTTTTTTTTTTTTTTTGAGACAGAGTTTTGGTCTTGTTGCCCAGGCTGGAGTGCAATGGCACCATCTTGGCTCACTGCAACCTCCTCCTCCCGGGTTCAAGTGATTCTCCTGACACAGCCTCCCAAGTAGCTGGGATTATAGGCACCTGCCACCACATCCAGCCGATTTTTGTATTTTTAGGAGAGACAGAGTTTCATCATGTTGGCCAGGCTGATCTTGAACTCTAGACATCAGGTGATCCACCTGCCTTGGCCTCCCAAAGTGCTGGGATTACAGGCGTGAGCCACCGCACCTGACCCTTTCCTGTAATTTTAAAATTCTTTACATTTTCATTATGCAGAGCAATTTAACTGTGACCATATTCATAGTCAAGTTTACCTACTCAAACCCACTGAAATGCTCACAAAATAAAAGACCCTAAGGTGTTGGGAATTCCCGAGAAAGCAGATCGGCATTATTGTTTATTGCTTGGCATCTCATTCCTCAACCCATCTGGCTAATCAGTGGATTTCTTCCTGGTAAATATAGGACTGTCCCTAAGAGGAGGTCTTATTCCAGCTGCTAAGGAAGAAAAATTTCCTCTGTCTCATTACACCAGAAACTGGAAAGCAAAACTAGTCATTAGAATGTTGTTCAGTTTTCAGGGTATGAGAGTGAAAGTAGCTGGGAGGGTGTCAGGGAGACTTCAGGCTAAGTGAAGGGCAGGTGGCACTTGCGCTCTGGCCTTGAGTGTGTCATTCTAATGATGGTGTGACTGTGGCCAGGTTCATGGATGGGTAAACCCTAATCATTGCTTCCTTCCCAGCTCGCCTTCTGGGCTGCATCTAGACTTTCCCCTCTCCACTTGATCTGTCATTATAATACTGTGTGACTTCGAGTATGTGTTCATATTTTATTGATTTCATTTTGTATGATAATTAGTTGCTTCCAAGGCACCTTCATTTCAGGAGTTAGAGTTTGCCACATCTCTCTTGTAGGATGCACTCATAGTGGAGGAAAGATTTCTTTTTCTCACCCATTGCTAGGTTCATGACTGAGGCCCTTATAATATAATAAAAGACAGATTAATAGGAGAAAAGCATACAAATTTATTTGATGTCGGTATTATATGCCTGGGTGAAGTGGCTCATGCCTGAAATCCCAGCACTTTGGGAGGCTGAGGTGGAAGGATCACTTGAGCCCAGGAGCTGAAGACCGGCCTGGGCAACATGGTGAGACCCTGTCTCTATTTAAAAAAATAAAATAAAAAAGTTTTACATGATACAGCAACCTCAGAAATGAAGACTCCAAGAAACAGGTAATCTTGCATATTGTTATGCTTAGATTAGATGAAGTAGATGGTCTTGCAGAAATATGATTGGACAAAGGGATAATAAACTGGGGGAAACTTAGCCAGGCCTGTTAGTTAGATTCTTCTCCATGTCCTTGTGTTTTCAGAGACAAGGATGTTCCTTTCTTCAGGATACAGCAAGGGTACCTCTTGAATGAGGGTCTCATGACCTGCTTCAGGGGAGAAGGGCAGTGGGGATAAGGGGAGAGGGACCTTCCTCCTTCTGCTATTTTCTCAAATGTCAAGGTGCCATATTTTGGGGTAGCCTGTCCTGAACCCTACCACGCTCTTCAGAAAGCATTCTTGGCAATTGCCAATCTGCTCGTAGACTAATCATAGGTATTAGAACTGCGAGAAACCTGCACACCGTCAGTCCCCCTTTTACTGAGGCTCAGAAGAATAATACTACTTTCCCAAGTGCACACAGTTTGCATTGTAGCTAGGACTAAATCCCGGCTCTTCTGTGTCTAGTTGCTATGTTTCAGCAACGGGACAGCTTTATCTTGCTGCCTATCAGCGTAGTTTGGATGGTTGTTCTTTTCTCTGTGGCTCTTCGATTAGGCCATCAGCTCCTTGAAAAGTGGAAGTGTATCTTCTCTAAGATATGGTTAGGCTCCCAGTGGGCACCCAATGTATGCTGTTTATCCATTTTAGCAGACAATTTTAGAGCTCTCACTATATTTGACCATGTTCTGTATGTATGTGCTAGTGCTGGAGATGTAAGAAGATGAAAAAGATACTATCTTTTATAAGAAGCTCATCATCCATGAGGCAGCTATAATAGATGTACGGAGACAATATATATAAGTACAAGGGAAGTAGAGAGAAATTTCATCAAAGGGCCCAGAAAACTTTTTTTTTTTTTGAGACGGTCTCGCTCTGTCTCCCAGGCTGAAGTGCAGTGGTGCGATCTCAGCTCACTGCAACCTCCGCCTCCTGTGTTCAAGCGATTCTCCTGCCTCAGCCTCCCGAGTAGCTGGTACTATAGGTGCACGCTGCCACGCCCGGCTAATTTTTTGTATTTTAGTAGAGACAGAGTTTCGCCATTGTTGCCCAGGCGGGTCTCAAACTCCTGAGCTCAGGCAATCCACCCGCCTCAGCCTCCCAAAGTGTTAGGATTACAGGCATGAGCCACCGGGCCTGGCCTCATTTTTGTTTTTTTAGTAGAGATGGGATTTCACCATATTGGTCAGGCTGGTCTCAAACTCCTGACCTCAGGTGATCTGCCCACCTCGGCCTCCCAAAGTGCTGGGATTACAGGCGTGAGCCACTGCGTCTGGCCGGGGCTCAGGAAACTTTATGGAGAAGGCAGGACTAGGGCTGGGCCTTACGAAAGAATTTCGCCAGAGTAGTAGGAAAAGGAGGGACCTATTAGTAGCAGCTTGAACAAACACTTAGAGGCAGGAGAGCACAAAGGTATGTTGAAGAATGGCCCACAAGCCCCTGTGGCTGATACATGTGGGTTGCAGTGGGATGTTTGAGGCTGAAAAAGGAAGACATTGTACAGGGCTTTGAGTGTGAGCCTTTGAATATGCATGCGACAGTGGAATAATGCACTCCTCGGCTGGGCGCGGTGGCTCATGCCTGTAATCCCAGCACTTTGGGAGGCCGAGGCGGGCAGATCACGAGGTCAGGAGATTGAGACCATTCTAGCTAACACGGTGAAACCCCGTCTCTACTAAAAATACAAAAAAATTAGCCGGGCATGGTGGCGGGCACCTGTAGTCCCAGCTACTCAGGAGGCTGAGGCAGGAGAATGGTGTGAACCCGGGAGGCGGAGCTTGCAGTGAGCCGAGATCGCGCCACTGAACTCTAGCCTGGGCGACAGAGCGAGACTGTCAAAAAAAAAAAAAAAAAAATGCACTCTTCTAACATCTGTTTGAGATAGAACCTGGCCAAGGACAGATCCTTAATCAATATATGTAGAAATTAATATTAAATATGCTCCAGGTCTACTGACTATAGAAATTATGGTATCCAGAGGCAGTATATTGTTTAACAGCATGGACTTTGGAGCCAGAATGGCTACATTTAGAGCCTAGCTTTGCCAGTTACAAGCTGTGCAACCTGGGAAAGGTTTTTAACCTCTTTGAACCTCAGTTGCTTTAATTTTTGTGAAATGTGGATGATAATAGTATCTACCTCGTAGGCTTGTTATGATGATTAAATTAACTGAGTTAGTATATGTGAGGCACTAACAATTTACAATAGAAACTGGTTCATAGTATTATATTTCTTTTCTTTTCTTTTTCAAGACAGGGTCTCACTCTGTCACCCAGACTGGAGTGCAGTGGTGGCATCATAGCTCACAGCAGCCTCAAACTCCCTGTCTTGGGTGATCCTCCTACCTCAGCCTACCGAATACCTGAGACTACAGGCAAGCACTACAAATTTTTTTTTTGTGGGACACTCCTGTAGAGACAGGGTTTTGCCATGTTGCCCAGGCCAGTCTTGAACTCCTGAACTCAAGCAATCCACCCACCTCAGCCTCCCAAAGTGCTGAGATTACAGGTGTGAGCCACTGTACCCGGCCTTATATTTCTTATTTATATTATTATAATAATTATTGCTGAAATAATTGTATTTTACTGTCACAATAGGAAAAAGCCTGTCTTCTCAAAAATGTCTCCTACTATACTGCCTTACTGTCTGAAATGCTCCCCTTAGGGCTTCTTTAAAAATTCACAGATCTTTATTAAAATACATACGTAATTAGGAAGCCAACTCTAGGATATCAGTCATTCATTCTTTAGCAAGAATTCAATTGCTCCTAATAGAGTCCAGAGGAAATGGGCTATATAATGATAAGTCAAAAGAATTATTGTGGCTCACGCCTGTAATCCTAGTACTTTGGGAGGCTGAGGCGGCTGGATCACAAGATCAGGAGATCGAGACCATACTGGCCAACATGGCGAAACCCCGTCTCTACTAAACATACAAAAATTAGCTGGGCGTGGTGGCACGCGCCTGTAGTCCCAGCTACTCCGAAGGCTGAGGCAGGAGAATTGCTTGAACCTGGGAAGCGGAGGTTGCGGTGAGCCGAGATCGCGCCATTGCATTACTGTCTGGGCAAAAAGAGCAAAACTCCATCTCAAAAAAAAAAAAAAATTGAGGCATGAACTTGAATCACATTTGCCACCAGGATAAGGGTGGGGTGTGGGCAGCAAAAGTCAGTCTAATGAGGGTGCCCAGCAGATGGATCATCCAGCTTTCATCAGCCTCTCAATTCTGCTTTATTCTCTACTGGCCTTGTCTGCACTGTAACTCTTTTGTTTTGTGATGGAAACTCAAATTCTTTGTGAAAAATGGCCCTGGAGCTCCTTGTAGAAATGACTGATTCTATGGCTGGGGCAGGAAATATACAAGATGAGATGGAACATATTGCAGTGCCTGCAAGTTAAGGCAGTGCTCAACAAAACAGAACCAAAAAAGCCCAAAACCAAAACCTCCCTGGGTACCCACGATATTGGGGGGTATGTCAAAGGGTCACAGGGGCCAAAGGAAAGAGCTCCCAGTGGTGAAAGTTGCAACGATTTGAGAAGCAAAGTAAATAAAGCAATACTGAATTACAATCCAACATATAAAGTAAATATCCATGAGTCCATATGAACATAAGTGAATGACTAAGTAAATTAATAAATGCGGATGAAGGGCCAAACCTCCTGTGCAGAAAAATTCCAAATAATTTATATACGTACCCTGCCCTCAATGAGGGGAAGCTTAACTCCCCACTCCTTAAGTGTGACCAGCTCGTAGTGACTTCTTTCCAAAGACGACAGTTACAGAAAGGCAGAAAAAAGAGTAACTTTGGAAAAATCTGTCAAGTATAACTTCAGCCAGGTGATCAGAATCAGCATCAGCAGTGAGATATCAGGCTGATCATTTGTGTCCTTAATATGATATGACAAAAATGGCACTTTACCTCTGGGATCTTCCTCCTTCAAACTCATAACCCTAGTCTAATTATGAGAAAAACAGAAAATTCTTACAGGGGCACATCTTACATAATACCTGACCAGTATTCTTCAAAAATCCCATCGTCATCAGAAACAAGGAAGGTCTGATGTATTTTCACAGCCAAGAAGAGCCTAAGGAGACAGAGCAATTAAATGTAATGTGGTTGCTGGGCATGGTAGTTCACACCTGTAATCCCAAGCACTTTGGGAGGCTGAGGCAGGAAGACTGCTTGCGTCCAGGAGTTTGAGACCAGCCTGGGCAACATGGCAAAACCCTGTCTCTACTAAAAATACAGAAATGAGCCGGGTGTGGTGGCTTGTGCCTGTGGTCCCAACTACTCAGGAGGCTGAGGTGGGAGGATTGCTTGAGCCTGGGAGGTCGAGGCTGCAGTGAGCTGTGATTGGACTAACGCAGTCCAGCCTGGGTGACAGACTGAGACCTTGCCTCCCTGCCTCAAAAAAAAAAAAAAAAAAAAGTATATATATGTATATGTGTGTGTGTGTGTGTGTGTGTGTGTGTGTGTGTGTGTGTTAAACATGATTTCCTATGAGGGATTCTGGAACCGAAAAAGGACATAAAGGACACTTGGTTAAAACTAAGGAAATCTGAATAAAGTACGGACTTTAGTTAATAATAATGTATCAGTATTGGTTCATTAGTTGTAATGAATGTACCATACTAATGCAAGTTGTTAATAGTAGGGGAAACAGGGTGTGTGGTGAGCATGGGGGATATATGAAATTCTCTTTACTGTGTCCTCAATTTTTCTATAAATAAAACAGTCCTAAAAGATAAAGTTTAATGTAAGACCCCAATCTATGAAATTAGTAGAAGAAAACATAGGTGAAATGTTTTAAGACATTGGTCTGGGCAAAGAAGACCTCCAAAGCACAAACAACAATCCAGGTGAATTCTTGGAGCTAAAAACAAAACAAGGCCGGGCACGTTGTCTCACGCCTGTAATCCCAGCACTTTGGGAGGCCGAGGTGAGTGGATCATGGGGTCAAGAGATCGAGAGCATCCTGTCTAACATGGTGAAACCTCGTCTCTACTAAAAATACAAAAATTAGCTGGGCGTGGTGGTGCGTGCCTGTAGTCCCAGCTACTCGGGAGCCTGAGGCAAGAGAGTCGCTTGAACCCGGGAGGCAAAGGTTGCTGTGAGCCAAGATCGCGCCACTGCACTCCAGCCTGGGGACAAAGCAAGACTCCGTCAAAAAAAAAAAAAAAAAAAAAAAAGGCACAGACAACAAAAGCAAAAATAGACAAATGGATTATATCAAATGAAAAGCTTCTGCACAGCAAAGGAAACAATCAACAGAGTGAAGAAGAGACAATCTGTAGAATGGGAGAAAATATTTGCAAAGTGTTCATCTGAAAAGGGATTAATATCCAGTTTTTACAAAGAACTCAAACAACTCAGCAGAAAAAAAAAATCTGATTTAAAAAAATGGGCAAATGAGCTGAATAGACATCTCTCAAAAGAAGACATACAAACAGCCAACAGGTATATGAAAAAATGCTCAACATTACTTATCGTTAGGGAAATGCAAATCAAAACCACAATGAGATATCTCATTGCTGTTAGAATGGCTAATATAAAAAACACAAAAAATAGCAAATGCTGACAAGGACACATAGAAAAAGGAACTCTTTGTTCCCACTATTGGTGGGAATGTAAATTAGTACAGCCATTATTGAAAACAATATGGAGATTCCTCAAAAATCCCAAAACAGAACTACTATATGACCAGCAATTACACTCCTGGGGGTATATCCAAAGGAAAGAAAATCAGCGTGTCAGAGAGTCATCTGTAATCCCATGCTTACTGCTGCACTATTGTCAATAGCCAAGATATGGAATCAACCTAAGTGTCCACCAACAGATGAATGGATACAGAATATGTGCTATAATATACAATGGAATACTATTTAGCCATAAAAAGAACAAAGTTCTGTCATTTGCAGTAACATGAATGAGCTTGGAGGGCATTATATTAAGTGAAATAAGCCAGGACAGAAAGATAAAGACCACATATGTTCTCACTCATATGTGGGAGCTAAAAAAGTTGATCACGTGAAAGTGGAATAGAATAATGGTTACTAGAGGCAGGGAAGGGTAAGAGGAAAGAGGGATTAGCCAGAGATTGGTTAATGGATATAAAATTATAGCTGGACAGGAAAAATAAGTTCTAGTGTTCTACAGCACTGCAGAGTGACTATAATTAGCAATAATTTATTTTATATTTTCAAATACTTAGAAGAACAGATTTTTTAAAAATTAATTTTTTTTTTTTGAGACAAGATGTCTGTCTGTTGCCCAAGCTGGAGTATAGTGGCACAACCACAGCTCATTGCAAAATTGAACTCCTAGGCTCAAGTGTTCCTCCCATCTTAGCCTCCAAAGTAGCTAGGACTACAGGTGTGAGACACCACTTTGGCTAAAAAGAAGAGGCAGAGTCTCGCTATGTTATCCAGGCTAGTCTCAAACTCCTGGCCTCAAGCTGTCCTCCTGCCTCGGCCTCCCAAAGTGTTGGGATTACAGGCGTGAGCCACCATGAAGAGCAGATTTTTTAATGTTCCCAACACAAAGAGATGATGAACGTTTGAGGTAATGGATATACTAATTACTCTCATTCAATCATTACCCATTGTATACATTTTTTGAAATATCACATTGTACTCCATAAATATGTACAATTATGTTAATATCACATTGTACTCCATAAATGTGTACAGTTATCAAGTTAATATTTAAAAATGATAAAAAGTCTAATAATTAATTTAAAAAGAAAAAGAAAAGGCAAAAAAAAAAAGGCCCTAGAAAAAAATGTAACCACTAGTGCTGCCAATGCAGTGAGGAGATTTGATGAATATTGTTCTTAGAAAGACTAGAAGTTTCATGGGAGAAATTGAATATGAGAATTTATGAAGACCTGGGTATACACCCCTTTGGAATGTCAAAGTCTACTCTTTTTTTTTTTTTTTTTCAGATAGAGTCTTGCCCTGTCACCCAGGCTGGGGTGCAGTGGTGTGATCTCGGCTCACTGCAACCTCTGCCTCCTGGGTTCAAGCGATTCTCCTGCCTCAGGCTCCTGAGTAGCTGGGATTACAGGTGTGCGCCACCATGCCTGGCTAATTTTTTTGTTTTGTTTTGTTTTGTTTTGTTTTGTATTTTTAGTAGAGACAGGGTTTCACCACATTGGCCAGACTGGTCTGGAACTCCTGACCTCAGATGATCCACTTGCCTCGGCTTCCTCAAGTGCTGGGATTACAGGCACCTGCCACCATACCTGGCTAATTTTGTTTGTATTTTTAGTAGAGACAAGGTTTCACCATGTTGGCCAGGCTGGTCTCAAACTCCTGACCTCAGGTGATCCACCTGCCTCGGCCTCCTGAAGTGCTTAGATTACAGGTGTGAGCCACTGTGCCTGGCTGACAGATGAATTCTTTTGGGAGGCTCTGCTTTTAGGCAGCAGAGGGGAGTTTGGAAAAAATAAAATTAAACAAAAAGACTCTTCACAGGGACCCTTCAGTGGAACGCTGGGTCTCCCAATGTCACCAACACAAACCTGTGTTTACTGTGGTCAGGGAGACACCACTTAGTCACAGCTCTGACAGTGTCTCCGGAGTGGGTGGCAAGGTGGAAATGGATTGAGAAGCGGAAATTTAGTTTAAGGCATGTCTTTGCAGTGTGGAGGCTTGATTAGGATTGGGTAAGGATCATGATGCAATTGTCCAGGATTGATGGAAACAGTGAGGTGAGGATTCTGAGGTGAGGGGCTCAAACATTTTAGGGCTCACACCATCTGTTTTCTGTTTTCCATGGAAGAGTTAATGAGCCTTCTGGAAGTTCCTGTCATGGACAATCACGACAGTTACCACTAGAGTCTGCAGGAATGGGAAAATCATGCTAATGAGGATGATGGAGCAGTGAAGTCAAGTTCATGTTAGCTGGGGGTTTGTGGGAGGTGTGGTGGGGTCATTTTAGTCCTCAGCATCCAAAGCTATATGCTTAGTTAGAGGGTTTTGGTTCTCAGATTTCTCTGCAAGACTAAAAGAAAAAAGATCAATATATAGTAAACAAAAATGGATTCATGCTCGCCACACTACTGCTACTTTTTCTTTGACCTTAATAACCTATCATGGCTGCTCTTCCATGTCTTACAGCCAGGTCGAGGTCGCTCCTTTTAATCAGAGAATCATTGCAAAACTCCAATGTCCAAGTTGCTTTGTGGCTGGTGGCCCTATCTTCTGATTGCTTAGTTGAGACCGAACTGGCAAGGGAACAGGTTCTTAGGCCATGACGTCCACTGTCTTGCTTTTACTTTAAAACAAAACAAATAACCCTCTTCCAGATTCTTATGGCAATTTTCTCAAGGGGAAGAAAATCCAAATCTTCCCTGTCAGTCTGCACTTGGCTTGGGGGAGAGCAACTCCCTCACTGCTTTGTCCCCATGAAGCTGGCTGGGTCCTCTCTGCAGGTCTGAGAGCACAGGATGAGAATGTCAGAGGGTTGGGAGACTCAGAAGCTCAAGGTCACTTGGCCAACACCATAAAAGTCACCTGCCTGGCTGAACAGTCATTTGAGGAATATAGTTTTGAAGACACACTCCCACTTAAGGAGTGACTGACTGGGGGTTGAAATCCTCCCTGGTGTGCAACACAGTTTCTGAGCAATATTTTTATCTAATTTTTAAAAATATACAGGGGGTATCCTTTCCTTATGACTTTTCTCTGGTCACCCTGATGTGTGCGTTTTGCAAGCTTGGGTGTAATTATCCCTCCCATCCTGCCGAAGGGACCTGGGGTGTGCTCCCAGAGTTTTCTGGAAAGTTCAAGACAGATCATTTTGGCCGGGCATGGTGACTCACGCCTGTAATCCCAGTAATTTGGGAGGCCGAGGTGGGTGGATCACCTGAGGTCAGGGTTTCGAGACCAGCCTGGCCAACATGGCGAAAGCCTGTCTCTATTAAATATACAAAAATTAGCCGGTCGTGGTGGTAAACACATATAATCCCAGCTACTAGGGAGGCTGGGGCAGGAGAATCACTTGAACCCGGAGGCAGAGGTTGCAGTGAGCTGAGATCGTGCCACTGCACTCCGGCCTGGGTGATGGATCAAGACCCTGTCTCAAAACAAAACAAAACAAAACAAGCCACACACACACCTTTTAAGTCCAGCCACCAGGCCCCATTGCTTTTCCTCAATTGCCTCGGAACACCAAGCCCTCCCCCTCTGGCCTTCCCACCCTCAGCCTTGTTCTCCCCTCCCCTTAGCCCTTGGCACCCTTAAACTTTTTTCCACTTGCTATATTTCTTTCTTTCTTTTTTAAACAGGAACACAATATCTCTCCAAAGCAGGGTTTGCATGGCATGTAGTAGCAGCCGTTACAAAGAGAACAAGTAATTTCTTAGCCTTTCAGCGCTGCACTGCCTGTTTTTTTGTGAGTGGCCAGTGCACCTGTTGTGATAAGCAGTACTCCCTTCTCAAGCAATTTGAAAAGAGGGCAAACCCTGCACCCCACTCCCGCCCCCTTTCTTTTAAGTGGATGTTAATAATTTTAAGGGGGGTGGGGAGAGAAGACCCGTCCTGCGGATGGATTCTTTAGGCTGACACTCACAAGGCTCTCAGAGGCTGCAAAGAGAAGACAGTGCAGCCCTTGCTGGCTTCATCAGGGGCTGTGCCAGGCCAGGCTCAGTGAGACAGGCTAGATGGAAGTTGGCTTCCGTTTGGAAACGGAGGCTTTCCTTTCCTTGTTCTCTGTGGGCTGTTTTGGTTTATTTGTTCCATGGTTCTCTGAGCTTCTTTGTTTGACTCTGGCTGGTAAAGAGCCTGGAGGCTTTGGTGAAAAGAAGCTTCTCCCAGCAAAACACAGTTTGGCATAAGGAGAATAAAAGGCTTCCCTTTTTCCTAGGGTGGGTGAGTGGGAGGCATGCATATGGCCTCTTCTGGTTTTTTTCTTTTCTTTTCTTTTTTTTTCTTTTCGAAAGTCTATGAACCTCAAGCTGGCAAAAGGTGTTGGCCTGACAGGCTAGAGAGTGGAAATTCTCTGTTTGGCCCTGGAAAAGTGGCCCTCTGGCCTGTCATAGATAACACCATATCTCAGGGGACGAGGAGTCCAACATTCTGTGCATGAAGCTCCGGTGAAGTCACCTACACCCTCCCCTGCCTCGGTCTAGTCAAGACAGGGGGCCCTCTCTGTGAGCCTGAAGTTTCTCTGGGGTGCTGTGGCTGGCAGGCCCCCTGTGTGGAGCGCCTGGGAGGTGTTTGTGTGACAGCTGGAGGGAGCAGGCCTGGCCTGAGAGGGGACTAGGGCATGCCTCCCCAAATATACCACTTTGACAGAAGAATTGAGCTGGAGGGATTGAAAGAAAAAAATCTTTAGGCTGGGCATGGTGGCTCACACCTGTAATCCCAGCACTTTGACAGGCTGAGGCGGGAAGATCACTTGAGGCCGGGAGTTTGAGACCACCCTGGGCAGCATAGCAAGACCTTGTCTCTATTAAAAAAAAAAAAAACGAAAAGAAAGAAAAGAAATAAAAAGTCTTTTAAAACATTTAAGATAAATTCTTCGTCTTCTAGTTTTTCTTTTAACAGATGGGGGCTTGCTATATTGCCTAGGCTACTCTTGAATTTCTGGCCTCAAATGATCCTCCTGCCTCAGCCTCCTGAAGTGCTGAGATTACAGGTGTGAGCCACCGTGCTCAGTCCCCCCAAAATCTTTTATCTTCCAAAAGGCAGAGCCTCTCAAAAAAACTCAATTGTCATAAATCCCCTCCCAAGAGCAACTCAGTAATCTCTTCTCAGAGTCTAGAACTCAGCACCACACCCAAACAGATATTGTCATCAAACTCTCAAATCTCTCATCCATTCTCCTAGGAGCCCATTTCTCCTTCCAAAAGTCATTTGCTTTTCCATTAGTGCCCTCTCTCCCCAACCCTTCCTCCAGTAAGTTAGGTACATAGACCTCAAATTCTTTTTTTTTTTGAGACAGAGTCTTGCTGTGTCTCCCAGGCTGGAGTGCAATGGCGCAATCTTGACTCACTGCAACCTCCACCTCCCAGATTCAAGTGATTCTCCTGCCTCAGCCTCCTGAGTAGCTGGGACTACAGGCGCCCATCACCATGCCTGGCTAATTTTTGTATTTTTAGTAGAGACGGGGTTTCACCATGTTGGCCAGGCTGGTCTTGAACTCCTGACCTCAAACAATCCACCCACCTCGGCCTCCCAAAGTGCTGGGATTACAGGTGTGAGCCACGGTGCCTGGCCAGTAGACCCCAAATTCTAACCACCCCTGTGAGTTGCTCCTCACTGGGTGCTCTCATATGTAAGGAAGATGCACAGGTTTACAAACTCCTGTTGGTTTTTCTCTCATGAATCTGTCTTTTATCAGCTTAGTTTATAGGGCACTAGTCAATAACCTAGGAGGGTAGAGGTAAAAAGGTTTTCTTCCCATACACCTGTGTCCTTACTGAGACCTCTCTGTGGCTTGGGAAGTCTTTGAGAACACCAGACAGCAGGCAGCACAGCCCCTGGCTCCCAGTAACCTGCCAAAAAGATTTGGTGAGTCCAGGCATGGTGGCTCATGCCTGTAATCCCAGCACTTTGGGAGGCTGAGGCAGGTGGATCACCTGAGGTCAGGAGTTCAAGACCAGCCTTGCCAACGTAGTGAAACCCCGTCTCTACTAAAAATATAAAAATTAGCTGGGTGTGGTGGTGGGCGCCTGTAGTCCCAGCTACTCGGGAGGCTGAGGCAGGAGAATTGCTTGAACCAGGGAGGCGGAGGTTGCAGTGAGCTCAGACCATGACACTGCACTCCAGCCTAAGTAACAGAGTGAGACTCTGTCTCAAAACAAAAACAAAAACAAAAACAAAAAACTCAAAAACAAAAAACAACCCAAAAAGATTTGGTGAGTAAATAACAGAATATCTTACTCTGAGTGACAGCATTTAAATGCAAGTGGTCCTAACCAATCTGTGTATTAGTCACTCAGGGCTTCAGCTGAGATCTGTAGAGTGGGTGATGGGGTTTTGGAGGAGAGGAAAGGGCATTTTGGAGGGAGGGGTTGAGTCTCTGTGTGCAGGTCTTGCATTGTTGATTTAAGATGGGGTGTGGGGCCCAGTTGTATGCCTATTCAATGTATTAGTAATTCGTCAGCCACACCTAACTTTGTGGTTCTAGGTGTGTCTCTTCTAACCCACTCACTGGGCCAACCAGGGGCCAATCAGCCTTTTTCTTATCTGGTATTGGCACCAGGGAATTATAAGTCTTTAAAGCCAAGTGCTAAGTTTCCAGGGTTGGGGCCACTTGGCTACCTCCGGGAGGCTGTGATTTGAATCTTATATCTGATCTGCTATGGGTTCCTCCCCTGGCCATTCCCAGAAGGTAAACTTTCATCCTCTTCTGCTGACTTTTCCTTATGGTTTTGTCCTGCTCAACTGCCTGCCAGTGTCAACTCCTAATGCCTGCTTTCAGATATTTTGAAGAATGGGACTTCAACAGGGCTTTCTCCTATCCTGATCCAATTGATACGCAATCAGTTGATGTATTATTAAAGGATTTTACAGCTGCAAAGGGTTGGAGATCATCTTAAAGGGAGATTTCTGGGGTTAAAAGTTGACCTGGTACTGGCTGGGCGCGGTGGCTCATGCCTGTAATCCCAGCACTTTGGGAGGCCGAGGCAGGTGGATCACGAGGTCAGGAGATCAAGACTATCCTGGCTAACACGGTGAAACCCCGTCTCTACTAAAAATACAAAAAATTAGCCGGGCGAGGTGGTGAGTGCCTGTAGTCCCAGCTACTCGGGAGGCTGAGGCAGGAGAATAGCGTGAACCCGGGAGGCGGAGCTTGCGGTAAGCCGAGATCCCATGATGGCTCTCCAGCCTGGGCAACAGAGCGAGACTCCGTCTCAAAAGAAAAAACAAAAGACAAAAGTTGATCTGGTACTTATTTCAAAGAATACACGTCATTATTTCTAAATGGCCCTTGCATTTTACAAGAAAATGAATCTGTGCAGTGGTTATTGTGGAAGAGGATGTACCTTTCTTTTCCAAGTGCTTGGGGTGGATTACCTGTCCTGGGAAGACAGCTTAGGGTCTTCTGTTTGATAGCATCCAGCTTGGAGGGAAACTAGGGACCCCTTAACATGGGAGTCGGAGGTGACTGCAAGAGGTCACACCAGGAAATTAAATAATATACTAAATAGCACAGCAAGAAGGCAGTATCTTTCAATTCCCTTTTATGCCCACTGATTAGATCAGAGAGCCTCAGCTTAGTCCTAAAATGTCTTGAACACTTCTCTGACACCAATTCTTCTTCTCCTTTTCTATCGGCTTTCTCTTCTTCTTCCTCATCATCGTTCTTCTGGTAAGTAAAGAGGGAGCAATTCCCAGGCTCTCAGCTTTCAGGAGCTTGCTGGAATCTAGAACATTTTCTCCATTATGTTTATTTTTCTGGCTGCCTTGTGTTTATGGCAAGTGACATTGGTTTTTCCCTTCCCCATTAGTGTTCAAAATTTGTACTTAACATCAGAATATTTAAATATAAAATGTGAATTGATTTAAAGATGAAAGTGGCAGGTAGAATTGGATGTGGCACACATTTTGAAGGTGGTATGTGGATGACCATTTTTCCTGATTTTTCCCAATTCTAGTATCCTCTTGCCCATTAACCCATCCTTTTTTGAGAAGATTTCATGTCAGTTTCTTCTCTTTTGTTCTTATCTTCTTCACCACCACCTTCTGCTGCTGGGAGATTTCCAGTTTTTGTTGTTGTTGTTGTTGTTTTTTAGATAGGGTCTCCCTCTGCCACCCAGGCTGGAGTGCAGTGGTGGGATCATAGCTCACTGCGCCTTGACCTCCTGGGCTCAAGGGATCCTTCTACCTCAGCCTCCCAAGTAGCTGGGACCACAGGTGTGCCCCACAATGCCTGGCTAATTTCTTATTTTTTGTAGAGATGTGGTTCTCTCTATGTTGCCCAAGCTGGTCTTGAACTCCTGGCCTCAAGCAATCCTCCTGCCTCAGCCTCCCAAAGCTCTAAGATTACAGACCTGCGCCACCTCTCCTTTGCAGGCCACGCCCACTCTTTCTCTAGTTTGCCAGAGTGTTCAGGTGAGCAACAGGGACAGGAATATCAGCAGAGGCAGGCATGTCTCTTGCTTGTCTGATACTTTTTTTTTTTCCCCTGAGACAGAGCTTCGCTCTTGTTGCCCAGGCTGGAGTACAATGGCATGATCTCGGCTCACTGCAACCTCCGCCTCCTGGGTTCAAGCGATTCTCCTGCCTCAGCCTCCCGAGTAGCTGGGATTACAAGCGCCCACCACCATGCCCAGGTAATTTTTTGAATTTTTAGTAGAGATGGGATTTCACCATGTTGGCCAGGCTGGCCTTGAACTCCTGACCTCAGGTGATCCACCCGCTTCCGCCTCCCAAAGTGCTGGGATTACAGGTGTGAGCCACCGCGCCTGGCCGTCTGAATACTTTTAACATTTGTTTTTGCACTTCCAATTGGGGTGTGGAGTTCCTGTGCTTAACCTCTGGGCTTACTGTCTTAACTCCTCTCCTGGGTTGCCAGGCCTTACGGTGTTGTGTCCTGTTTAGCCCATCTCTGCATCTTGCACGGAGCCGAGGCCATTGTGAGTGCACAGGAGGTCCCTAATATTGGTTGTAAACTGATCACTATGGCATTTTAGCAATTGTCAGATTCATCTGGTCAATGTTGGCAGCCTCTGGCAATTAAAAGACAGGTGGAGGTTACACAGCCCATCCTCCACAGCCACAGCCTCATGGTCAGGTTGAAAGCCAAGTCTTTTTTTTTTTTTTTTTTGTAACGGAGTCTTGCTCTGTTGCCCAGGCTAGAGTGCAGTGGTGCGATCTCGGCTCACTGCAAGCTCCGCCTCCTGGGTTCATGCCATTCTCCTGCCTCAGCCTCCCGAGTAGCTGGGACTACAGGCGCCCACCACCACTCACGGCTATTTGTTTTTAGTAGACATGGGGTTTCACCGTGTTAGTCAGGATGGTCCCGATCTCCTGACCTCGTGATCCACCTGCCTTGGCCTCCCAAAGTGCTGGGATTACGGGCGTGAGCCACCGCACCCAGCCGAAAGCCAAGTCTTAGACCAAACATTGATGTACAGGTTCCTGTAGGTTGGTGATGTGGCACTCTTTGTCCTTTGGCACAGGGACAAGTACATTGCATCATAGGTTCATTCTGAAGTGACATTGTTGCCCTGTCTTGGAATCAGGTGACAATGTTCCCTGTGAATAGGGTGGCATAGGCCTCAGCAGGGTTGAAGGCCCACTATGTTGTTTTTAAAATTTTGAGATTAAGACTTACAGGATTCATATGCCTTATTCATATGGGGTGGTAGTACCTGAGCAATTTTTCTCTCAACCATATGTTGCACTGTAACCACTTCACAAAGGAAGAACAAAGTGTCATCTTTAATGCTAATAATGAAGCCTATGGTGTGGACTTTCTTTTTTTTTTTTTTTTTTTTTTTTTTTGAGATGGAGTCTTGCTCTGTCACCCGGGAGTGCAGTGGCGAGATCTTGGCTCACTGCAACCTCCGCCTCCTGGGTTCAAGAGATTCTCATGCCTCAGCCTCCTGTGTAGCTGGGATTACAGGCAGGTGCTACCAAGCCCGGCTAATTTTTATATTTTTAGTAGAGATGGGGTTTCATCATGCTGGCCAGGCTGGTCTCAAACTCCTGACCTCAAGTGATCTGCCTGCCTCTTAAAGTGCTGAGATTACAGGTGTGAGCCACTGTGCCCGGCCTCTTCATTGGGTTTTTTTTTAATGCACTCTTGTAGCACCTTTGGGGTATCTGTGATTGGTAAAGATCAAATGCTAACTATCTCTAGGGCACAGATTATAATTCACACACACACACACACACACACACACAAATATCACATTGTTAATAATGAAGTATTTTAGAGCAAATCACTACCCAGGCAATGTAAGATTTATGGAACTGAAGAATGTTGTTGGGCAGAGGCAGATGCCTATGTTTTATTTTTATTTTATTTATTTATTTTCGAGACCAATTCTTGCTCTATCGCCCAGGCTGGAGTGCAGTGGCGTGATCTTGGCTCACTGCAGCCTCCGCCTCCGGGTTCAAGTGATTCTCCTGTCTCAGCCTCCCGACTAGCTGGATTACAGGCGCCCACCACCATGCCTGGATAATTTTTGTATTTTTAGTAGAGACGGGGTTTCACCATGTTGGTCAGGCTGGTCTGGAACTCCTGACCTCAGGTGATCCACTAACCTCAGCCTCCCAAAGTGCTGGGATTATAGGCATGAGCCACCACGCCCGGCCAGATGGCTACGTTTTAGTTGCAGCTCTGCCTCCCTTAAAGGGGCTCTGTTTCTTCACAAGAATTGCTAAGATGACTTCTGCCAGCCCAACCAATGACAGATAGGTTCTCCCCATCGATTTCTTGGGAAATTTCCTTATCTGTGAAATGGGAATAGTAAGCGTACTTAAATATCAGGTTTTCTTCTTACCTTGAGGAGCTCATGAGATGTGTGTTAAATTGCCTGGTGAACGGTAAAAAGCCATTCTAATGTAGGTTATTTTCACTGTTATCACCAGGAAGACCAAATAGAAGCCAAAGATCAGGGGAACTGCTTCTTACCTGGGATAGAGAACTAAATCACTGGTATCTGCTAAAATCAGGAGTGAACTGAAGTCCTGTCTACCCTTCAATGGTGTTGAGTTAGGTCTGAGAAAGTAACCAGAAATCGAACATTTTCTGGTTCAGATGAAAATCTCTGTTCTGCTCTGAACTTTTATGTGTACTTCCAAGGCTTAATAGGCAGTATTATGAAGCATAGAGAAGAGATTCTTTATTAACACTAGCGTTGAAGATATGGATGACTGGTTTGTTTGTCAAGAGTAAGGTCATAACTCTGTAATCTGCTTTAGTCTGAGAGTTGGACCGATCCCATTTGGCTTACCCAATACCAGTGTGCTACTCTTTTTCTGCCTTCATATATTTCTGCCCACATTGCTTGACTTAAGAAAATATGCATTTGCCTGCTACACATGACTAGTGACTCTCCTATTGAATTAGATTCTCATAAGAAAGCAAAGAGGGAGTGAATGGGGGAGAGATGGAACACACTATATTTCTTTGAGACCAGTGCTTATTTTCTTGGCTGGCAAGTGCTTTTTTCTCACCTTTTGACATAATCCTAATGGTCCTATTAAAATACATTTAGCCTTCTCTCTCTTCTCCATCTGCCAGCACTCTGTGTCATTTGGTGGACGGCAGGCAGGTTTTAAGTTCCGAAAAGCAGAGAACAGACTAAGTATTGGAACAGGATCATATGTCTCCTGTTTTATTTTCAGAAACACACCCCTTCGCCCCCTTGTTTTATTGCTAAGTGTTGAGTTGCAGCTGGATCAGGAGAGGGTGGGACAGCAGGGAGACGTCTTTGCCTCTGAGGATTGTGTGATGCCAAGGAGGGTTTTCCAAGGAGTTCAAGGAGTCTCTTTCATTAGGAATCTTTTGAAGCAAAATATTCTGATGCTGTTATTTTTGGAAATTCCAATTTGGGCTTGTTTAGATGATTCCCAACATTCCTTCCATTGCTTTGAGTGGGTGATTTTTGTGGCTGTGTTTTGGGTTCAAGTTCACAAATAATGTGAGTGTGCCTCAGCCTTATACAGACTTTCTGCCAACAGAAAGAGCTGGAAAGAGCTAAGGCAGTTGCATATTAAGGGCAAATATAGCTCGTGTTCAGCGAACATGAACTGTGTTTGCTCATGCTCTTTGGATGAGCTCTTTGCCTAGTGGGGAGCAGTGGCAGCAGCTGGGGTGGGTAAGTGATACTGTGCTGCAGAGCCTCTGAAACTCCCTGTTCCATCACGGGCAGTGACATTCAATCCCTTCCAGGAAGCAACGTGAGCCCACCACAGCTGGCCAGAGGGAGCTTTCTCTTCTGGTTGGGAGGGGCGGGCTTTGGTCTTTAGAGCCTGACTATCACTGCCTGTGGAGAGCTTTGCATGCTGTCGGGTGGCAAGAACCGGTTGAGTGTCCTTCCTTCCCTTGCAGGGAGCTTCAGGAATGGAGCCCAGTTCTTAACTCAGGGATTTGGGCAGGGGTTTGGGATACTGAGAAAATGCCCATCACGTCAGGCTCCTGAGCAGAACTGGAGGAAGAACCTTTTGAGAATTGGCTGGTCTGGGGTGTGTGGGGGGAGGTTTCTAGACCAGAGGTGGGCCTGGGGGGCGGGAAGCTGGTGTGCTGACCTGCCTCAGGACAGAGGCTAACACACTGCCCTCCCTGATGTGTTCTGGAGCTCTGTTTTCAAAGTAGCGGTACTCAATGTACAGCTAAGGCTCTGTGTCCCCAGTAGCGCTGGACACCAGGATTTCTCAACCTCAGCGGTGCTATTGACATTTGGGATACAGAATTCATGGTGGTGGCGGTGGGGGCTGTCCTGTGCGTTGTAGGATGTTTAGCAGCATTCCTGGCCTCTATCCCCTGTATGCTGGTAGCACTTCCATTCCACTGCTACAACCAAAAATATCTCCAGACATTGCCAAACATCCCCTGGTGGGGCAAAATTGCCCGCAATTGAAAAACACTGCATTTTACAGAAAACAAAACACACTGCTCTCTTCCCCCACCCCCAACTCTGAATTTATATGTACTATTTAGGAAGAGAGCAGGTGGGAAGTCAGATAATATGTTTTTAATATTTGAATACCAGGCTCTTTTATTAGATTGAGGCTTACGAAACTGTCATTCTTTTTGGACGTCAACATGGTTGAATAAGGGCAATTTTGTATGGCTCAACTTAATACCAGCCCATGAAATCAGATTTGTACAAACCTCAGTCACAAGGGGCCTCAGGACAAGGTCATGACCTATGCTGTTTATTAAACACCTCGAGAAGCATCCTCTGCAAGGAATTGCATTAAGACGGGTGGGTGGGGTGAAGAGAGGGAGAGCTGGAGTGAGCCTGAGAACAGAGCCAAAAGCATTGAAGAATATGGAAGAGGAGAGGGGGGGACAGGGATAGTTTTACATGTCCCTGGCTGTGGGAAAGGAAGGTCGCAATCCTACTGGGGTCATAAAGCAGAAGGAGCCATTCAGGTATAGAGGGGAAGAGGGGAAAGGAGACCAAGAGATACAAAGGGACTAAGGCTGGGGGAGATGAACTTCAGAGTCTTAGAGCAAAAATGAACAGGAACTTACCTTCTTCCCTTTGTGATTTAAGAGGCAGAGGTTAAGTACAGGTATGAATCTGGAGGCAATTGGAGACTTGTCCTGGAGCTTTGGGAACAACCTGAGCGTGGTGTATTTTTGGAAAGAAGAGAGGAGCTGGGTATGGGCCCTGGGCATCTTTCCTTGCTGGCCTGGCCTCTCAGGAGCCTGCCCCTCTGGCTGGGTAGATGTAAGCCCCCCTCGAGCAGGTCTGGGGATACCTCCTCTCAGCCATGGCACTGACCTCTTTGTGTGTTGAATCGTTTGTGTTCCTATTTTTTTGTACATTGCCATCATGGCTATACTAAGACAAGTTCCTCAAAAAAGTTGTGTTCTTGGTTTTTTTCTTCCTTTCCTATTCTTTAATCCTTGCCTCTCTGGCATGTCTCAATATGCCCTTTCAAAAATTGGTGCACTAACACCTGTTTTTCCATTTCGTTACAAAGTTGTCTGCAACTTGATCAGCTAGGGGTCTTGTTTGGGGCAAGAAGGGTGATCGGGCAGTGGGAGCCAGGGAGGCTGGCTCTGGTGAGGCACAGGCCTTGGCAACTGTATAAGGAATGTGATGGCTCAGATAAATAGGGCCAGTCCCAAGATGGGAATCTCGTGAATTCACAGGCTACAGCAAATCTCAGAGATGCTCAGTTCTGCAGCTCCATTTCACAGGTGAAGGAATCCAGGCCCAGAACGACCTCCTGACTTGCTCACATCACACAGTTAGTACCAACGCTGAGCACGTAAATCTTTGGGCCTAAGCCCATGCTCTTTTCCCTGAATTACCCCAGTATGCTGTGGTGTGGCTAAGGGTCGAGAAGTTCCAGGGCCCCTCAGTCAGGAGTTTTAGCTCTCATATAAAGGAAAGGGCAGATGACTGCTGCTGTTACTTTTCTTTTGTAATTTGGTGCGTGCATTCAGTGGGCATGGGATGCAGGCTGGTCCAGTGCCTGCCAGGGGGAGTGACTCAGGAGTAGGCTGCCTGCTCCGGCCAGGAGCTCATTAGCAGGGCTGCACTCATTTGCAAACCAGGCAACACAGACCCGATAGCTTCCTGCAGTCCCCGGCTCAGACTCAATAAATATCTGCAGCATTTAGGTGGAAGGGAGGAAGCAAAATAAAGAAGAAACATACTCAGAGGGCGGTTCCTCCTGACTCATTTACGGTGTGAGTGGTTCCCTAGAACACACTTTGGATTTGGGTCAGTTTGCTTGGACTTTGTCAGAAAGCCGAAACTCAAGGAGAAGGGGCGTTCATGCACATCCTTATGCTCAGCAGCAGATTTACCAAGAAGCTAATGAAACACGCTTTGGGACCCTTCACTTGTATGGACCCCTTTCAAGTTCTCACAACTAATCTGTACTTATAATTTTGTAAACGCTTCGCATTTTAAAAACTGTAGATGCTTCCGGTCTTGCAAAATGTGGACTTGCTTCAGAAACCACAGCACGTGATAGGCCAGTATCTTACATGATTTCACTAAACCGACTGAGAAAAGGCACCAGGGTCACGAGTGCCCTAAGGAGCAGATGAATGGGAGAAGTAGAATATGTGCACCAGAAGCTGCATTTCTGCACAGGACCCTCCCATCCTAGCCCTGTTTAAACAAATGTCAGATCTGTCAAAGGAGGCAGTGAGAGTCCATTTGAATTTGGCTTCCTTTTTTTTTCACCTCTTCTTTCAACAGTGACATGGAGCAGAGGGTATAGTTGAGTAGGGCATCCAGCAGCAGGGATTAGGAAGAGGATTTAGGCTCTGCCGAGGCCTCTGAGGATGACCAAAGGAATCCTTGAAGGTTCCTAAAGCTGGAAACCAGCAAAGGCTGGGATGTTGTCACATAAGCCCCAGGGTGGAGACTTTACCTTACCGTGTCCTGTGTTCAAGGTGCACGGGGTCGCAGGTTTCAATTGTCTTCGAGGGCAACGAGGGGCCACGCTAGGGTTGCTTGAGAGCAGTTTTGCTTCCATTCATCCTCCCTTCCCCCTTCTCCCTCATTTGTACATGTGTAATTAGAGTGACCAGCCTGCTGGCCTGTTTACAAGGGGAGGAAGTCCCTCCTCCCACCGCTTTTGTGGTAGCTTTAAGTGGACTCTATTCTTCTGTGCTTCCTGCCTTGAAAGTGCTGACCAGGGTCACTCACAGGGCTGTTAAACAGCTGCTGCGCCTCACCCTGGCAGCAAACAAGGCCATTCCAGGCCCATCCATCAGCGTGGCTCGACAAGTGCTTTGGGATCTGCCTGGGTGAAAGATGGGAAGTGAGCGTGGGCGTGGCCCTGACGCGCGTCAACCTCCAGATCAAATTTGTCCCAGGCCCTGGTGTCCCCGACGCAGGGAGGAACAGAGACTGTGGGGAGAAACTTGGGCATCCCCATGTTGTCATCTGGGCAGTAGCCATGGCTACTTCTTTCTCATTCATTCTTTAAATATTAATTGATTGCCTGCTTAAGACTGCACAAAAGCCTGAATTGTCAACTGCTTTATTTCAATAGCTGACATTTGATTTAGTGGATGTAAAAAAGATTGCTTGGTTTTTTTTTTTTTTTTGAGACGGAGTCTCACTCTGTCACCCACCCTGGAGTACAGTGGTGCGATCTTGGCTGACTGCAACCTCTGTCTCCAGGGTTGAAACGATTCTCATGCCTCAGCCTCTCGAGAGCTGGGATTACAGGCACATGCCACCACACCTGGCTAATTTTTGTATTGTTAGTAGAGACACGGTTTCACCGTGTTGGCCAGGCTGGTCTCGAACTCCTAAGCTCAAGTGATCTGCCCGCCTTGGCCTTCCAAAGTGCTGGGGTTACAGGTGTGAACCACTGTGCCTGGCCAGAACTTTTAAATTTTTATTGATTTTTTATCTTTTCTTACCCTGCCAGGGTGCCTAACATCCAGCTCAAGGCTTTAGTTTTTTCAGTAGATGATTCCAAACTGCTGTCCCCCAAATATCACAAGTGATTCCTAGTTTTCTAACTGGAGAATCTCAGATTTCACTTGGTTACTCTGTTCTTGAGAAAATAACATTGAAAACCCAAACCTCATCTCCGAGGACTTTTAGCAGTCGCCTCATGTGTGGGCATTGGGAAACCATGTGCATTTGGGCAGACTCCTCCAGCCCTTCCAGCTCTGGTGTCTGCTGTGCTTCTGGTCTCTGCTTTTAGAAAGAGAGGTGGGAGCCAGCAAGTGGAGATTGTTAGTGGGTGAGACAATATTCCCCTCCCTTAAGCCCCTCCTCAAGCCTCTGTCTGCTGTGACAATGTATTTTGGGATTTCTGAGCCCTGGCCCTAGGATAACCCGAGATTGAATCCTCAAAGAGGGACAAGGGGACAGAGGGTGACATTGATGATTGATGGGACATAAGGTGGAAGATGGCAAAAAAAAATGTCTTTTTTTTTTTTTTTTTTGAGATGGAGTCTTGCTCTGTCGCCCAGGCTGGAGTGCAGTGGCGTAATCTCGTGTCATGGCAACCTCCGCCTCCCAGGTTCCAGCAATTCTCCTGCCTCAGCCTCCTGAGTAGCTGAGGTTACTGGCATGCACCACCACGCCCAGTCAATTTTTGTATTTTTAAGTAGAGATGGGGTTTCACCATCTTGGCCAGGCTGATCTCGAACTCCTGACATCAGGTGATCCACCTGCCTCAGCCTCCCAAAGTGCTAGGATTATAGGCGTGAGCCACCGCACCCAGCCAGAATAATGTCTTCTACCAAGTTTTTCTTTTTCTTTTTTCCAAGACGGAGTCTTGCTCTGTTGCCCAGGCTGGAGTGCAGTGGCGCAATCTCGGTTCACTGCAAGCTCCGCCTCCCGGGTTAACGCCATTCTCCTGACTCAGCCTCCTGAGTAGCTGGGACTACAGGCGCCCGCCACCGCACCCGGCTATTTTTATTTTTTTGTATTTTTAGTAGAGACGGGGTTTCACCATGGTCTCGATCTCCTGACCTTGTGATCCGCCTGCCTCAGCCTCCCAGAGTGCCGGGATTACAGGCGTGAGCCACTGCGCCCGGCTGTCTTCTTCTAAGTTTTTCAAATATCTGAAAAGACTGTTGTGAAATCATACATATTTATGATAAAAGAATTACATAATTGACAGTGGCCTTTTGTGGCCATGTGCTTTCTCCACCCAAGGAAATTAAAATACAATTATTATCATGTGATTGTTGAGGATATTATTTGACTTAAAAGGGATCTTGATATTTGAAACGTTCACTGATCTTTAGAAACTAAAATATGAATGTGTCTGGGCATGGTGACTCACACCTGTCACTCCAGGACTTTGGGAGGCTGAGGTGGGAGGATTGCTTGAGTCTGGGAGATCAAAACCAGTCTGGCCAACATAGTGAGACCCCAGTATCTAATTAAAAAAAAGAACGTTCATTCTGGAAGATAAAATAGAAGCCATGGAAGCTGGCTGTGCTGTAAAAATGGCCTAAATCTGTTTTTCACCTTCAGATCATTGGCCTTTCTGCAGTGCACACAAGCTCTGAGGTTTGTACAAACCTAATATGATCAGCACAACTGCTTCTAGAAGGTCTCTCAGAGCCAGTTAGTGAGGCAGGACTCTGAAGGAGGGAAGACAGGAAAGGAAAGTTAATCTTCCAGCAGCTCTTGGGGTGTAGAAAGCCCCTCAGATCCCTCAGCTCACCTCAGCTGTTTGTCTCCTGGCCCAGCTGCCCTGGTTTAGCGGTCGTTTAAATATTTTCTTTGCTTTCCCTTTGGCTTGATGAATTGTGGATGTCTAAACATGGGCCCTTTCCCACCTGGGCCTGCCCCGCCTCTTTCCTGGGGATATAATGGGCTTGTTTGAAGGGCCTGACCTGGCATCGGTGCTGGCCAGCAGGAGCTGGGGGAGAAACACCTCTGTGTGTACAGCGCTTGGGCTAAGTAGCCCTTTCATTGGAGTAGTCAACACCTTTTGTTGCTGCCAGACCCTTCGGGACTGATCCAGTATTCGCTGTCCTTTGAGGTGGGTTGGAGAGAGGTAAATGTGCCCAGAGCAGCTTCCAGAAAGAACTCGCTGAACACTGCCTCCTTTGGTTCCATCCTTCAGGAGATCTGCTAAGGAAAACAGAAGCTTGTTAGTCTCAATTTTGGTGATAAGTAGAATACATAACCAGAGAAAGTAAAAACGCTTTAGGAAGTTCCCACTTAACACGTTTGCTTCTATGATTCTTCACATTTTTACATCCTCCGCTTGATTTCCTATTTCCTTTCTATGAAATTTTCATGAGTTGGTTCCTTTCGAAAAATCTTTTTTTTTTTTTTTTGAGATGGAATTTCTCTCTTGTTGCCCAGGCTGGAGTGCAATGGCACGATCTTGACTCACTGCAACCTCTCTGCCTCCTCGGTTCAAGCGATTCTCGTGCCTCAGCCTCCCCAGTAGCTGGGATTACAGGCATGCACCACCACGCCTGGCTAATTTTGTATTTTTAGTAGAGACAGGGTTTCACCATGTTGGTCAGGCTGGTCTCAAACTCCTGACCTTAGGTGATCTGCCCGCCTCAGCCTCCCAAAGTTCTGGGATTGCAGTCAAGAGCCACTGCGCCTGGCTGAAAAAAGAAATCTTAAATCATACATAATTATATTTACTCAGACTCTACTTAACGTATGAACTCACTGAACTGACAAGGGGACCACTCTGCTAGGAAATCTCAAGTTCAACCAAATGTTCCCAAATGGAGTATGGGGGAAGCAGAGGCCCACTGGGTCTGACGTGTGGCTTTTGAATCGTGAAGATACTTCTGCAAGCTTGCTGGTGGATGGTTGGATTGACAACGGCATGTCTAGTTACTGTTGCAAGGGATTAACCTGAAGTATGGTGATCTAAACTGCAATGCAAGGAAGGATTCTCAGCTCATCTTTTCTGTCCTCAAACTGTCTTCCTTTGCCAAAACTGTCAACATTCTGCCTACAGATAGACTGTCAAACGGAATATGACAAACTCCAAAGCACTTTTTTTTCCACAGCGCCTATCTTAATTTCATGCTTCTCCCCTTACATTACCTACTTTAAGGGATTTTTGGTGGTGAGAAGGGAGGAGTACCAGGAAGAATTTTGCATAAATAAATGCTTTTGCTCAAAGTCCTGAACTTTTGAACTTTTGTTCAAATTCTAAGATTTTAAAGTTTTTTTTCCTATTATATCTACCCTGTTACTAAATTTGCAATGAAAGCAATGAATCCTTTTTATTGGCCCTAGCGCTCCGTCTTGTGCAGAGGCAATGAAAAGATATGCACGGTCTCATCCTTAAGAAACTTGACCGTCTGGTAGTCAGGGCAGGATTTATGAATGAGTCAGCTGAAGAGCAGTGTTTGAGGAATCTAATTTAGTCTCTAGCCTAGTGGTCTGAATGCAAAGAGGGTTCAGGTGATGTTAGCCCAATAAAGAAAGCACTAAATTACAGTGTTCAGACAATAGTGTGTCCAGAGTCGGTGGGTTCCTGGTCTCACCGACTTCGAGAATGAAGCCGCGGACCCTCACGGTCAGTGTTACAGTTCTTAAAGGTGGGGTGTCTGGAGTTTGTTCCTTCTGATGTTCAGACGTGTTTGGAGTTTATTCCTTCTGGTGAGTTCGTGGTCTCGCTAGCTTCAGGAGTAGAAGATGCAGATTTTTGTGGTATTACAGCTCTCAAGGCGGCGCGTCTGGAGTTGTTTCTTTCTCCCGTCCGGAATTGTTCGTTTCTCCCAGTGGGTTCGTGATGTCGCTGGCCTGAGGAACGAAGCTGCAGACCTTCATGGTGAGTGTTACAACTCATACACAGTGCGGACCCAAAGAGCGAACAACAGCAACATTTATTGCACACAGCGAAAAAACAAAGCTTCCACACTGTTAAAGAGAACCAGAGCCACTTGCTACTTCTGGCTGGGGCTGCCTGCTTTTATTCCCTTATCTGGCCCCACTCACATCCTGCTGATTGGTCTGTTTTACAGAGAGCTGATTGGTCCATTTTGACAGGGTGCTGATTGATGCATTTACAATCCCTGAGCTAGACACAAAAATTCTCCAAGTCTCCACTAGATTAGCTGGACACAGAGCACTGATTGGTGCATTTACAAACCTTGAGCTAGACACAGAGTGCAGATTGGTGTATTTACAATCCCTTAGCTAGACATAAAGGTTCTCCACAGTCCCCTCTAGACTCAGAAGCCCAGCTGGCTTCACCTAGTGGGTCCCGCACCAGGGCCCCTGGCAGAATTGCCCGCCAGCACCACTCCATGTGCCCACAGTCCTCAGCCCTTGGGTGGTTGATGGGACCTCGGCGGTGCCTGTCGGGGAGGCTTGGACTGTGCAGGAGCCCACAGCAGGAGGAGGCTTGGGCACTGCGGGCTGCAGGTCCCGAGCCCTGCCCCGTGGGGAGGCAGCTGAGGCCCGGCTAGAATTCCAGTGCGGCACCGGCGGGCCGGCACTGCTGGGGGACCTGGTGCACCCTCCGCAGCTGCAGGCCCGGGTGCTAAGCCCCTCACTGCCTGGGGCCGGCGGCACTGGCCGGCTGCTCCGAGTGCGGGGCCTGCCGAGCCCATCCAGAACTCGTGCTGGCCTGTGAGTGCTGCATGCAACCCCGGTTCTCGCTCGCGCCTCTTCCTCCATATCTCCCCGCAAGCAGAGGGAGCCGGCTCCGCCCTCGGCCAGCTCAGAGAGGGCCTCCCACAGTGCAGCGGCGGGCTAAAGGGCTCCTCAGACGCCGCCAGAGTGGGCGCCGAGGCAGAGGAGATGCCGAGAGCGAGCGTGCTGTGAGGGCTGCCAGCAGGCTGTTACCTCTCAATAGCATGGTAGGACCTCAGAGAACTGGGAGAGGAGGTAGGTTCTAATAGTTGTAGTCTGTGTGCAGAAGGTGGGGATATGAGCTAGGTCTTGAAGGAAGAGTAGAAAGGTTGAATGGGTTGAGAGGGTGTCATTGGTAATTGGAAAAGTCAGAGGAATGACCCAGGGAACAGCATCTTGGTTGGATCAGAGGGTATGCCCTGAATAAGGACCAGTAAGAGATAACATGAGATGAATTGTAGAAGGGGTTGCAAATCAGAGTTGAGACTTGGATTAAGCCAAGTTGATAAAACTATAAAGAGAGCTATTGTAGGTTTGGAGGGTTTGCTTATAGTAAATTTCTTTCTCTCTCTCTTTTTTTTCTTTTTTGTTTGAGACAGGATCGCCTAGGCTGGAGTGCAGTGGCACCATCTTGGCTCACTACAACCTCTGCCTCCTGGGTTCAAGCGATCCTTCCACCTCAGCCTCCTGAGTGGCTGGGACTACAGGCATGTGCCACCACACCTGGCTATTTTTTTTTTTTTTTTTTCTGAGATGGAGTTTTGCTGCTGTCACCCAGGCTGGAGTGCAATGGCACAATCTCAGCTCACTACAACCTCCGCCTCCTGGGTTCAATTGATTCTCCTGCCTCAGCCTCCCGAGTAGCTGGGATTACAGGTGCCCGCCACCATGCCCAGCTAATTTTTGTATTTTTAGTAGAGACAGGTTTTCCCTATGTTGGCCAGGCTGGTCTCGAACTCCTGACCTCAGGTGATCTGCCTGCCTTGGCCTCCGAAAGTGCTGGGATTACAGGCACGAGCCACCGTGCCTGGCCTTGGCTAATTTTTTGTGACTTTTGTGGAGACAGGGTTTTGCCATGTTGCCCAGGCTGGTCATTTGACATTCCCACTAGTAAGGCACTAGGGTTCTAATTTCTCCCCATCTTCACCAATATTTATTTTCTGTTTTTTGTTTTTTCTCTTTTATAGTAGACATCTTAATTGGTATGGGATGATATTTAATTGTTGTTTTGATTTGCATTTCCTTAATGACTAGTGATGTTGAGCATCTTTCAGAAGCTCAGAAACATAAAAAGATGACCACATTTGTATATCTTCTTTGGGAAAATGTTCAAGTCCTTTGCCCATTTTTAATAGATTTTTTGGGGGCTGTTGAGTTTTAGGCATTCTCTCTATATTTTAGATATTTATTAAACCCTTATCAGATATGTGATTTGCAAATATTTTCTCCCATTCTGTGGGTGACCATTTTACTCTGTTAATAGTGGTTTTTGATGGAAAGAGATTCTTAATTTTGATGAAGTTCAATTAGTATGTTTTTTCTTTTGTTGCCTTTGCCATTGGTGTCATATTCAAGAAATCATTGCCAAATCCAATCTCTGAAGGTTTTTTGTTTTCCTCTGAGAGTTTTATAGCTTTAGGTCTTACATGTAGGCCTTTGACCCACATTGATTTAATTTTTTTGTATATGGTATGTGTATATTCAGCTTTCCCAGTGCCCACTGTTGTCCTTTCCCTATTGGATAGTCTTGGCAAAATATCACTTAACCGTATATGCAAAGGTTTATTTCTGAATTCTCTATTCTATTCTACTGGTCTGTCTCTTTGCCAGTAGCCTGCTGTTTTTTATTATTATGGTATTGTAATACGTTTTGAAATCAGGATGTGTGAGACCTCCAACTTAGTTCTTTTTCAAGATTGTTTTGGCTATTTGTGGTCCCTTGAGATTCCATATAAATTTTAGGATGAAATGTTCTGTGTTTGCAAAAAATGCCATTGGGATTTTGATTGGGATTGCATTAAATCTACAGATCACTTTGGGTAGTATTGACATCTTAAGAGTATTAAATCTTACAATCATTAACAAGGGTTTTTTTTTAATTTATTTTTGTCTTTAGTTTCTTTCAGCAACATTTTGTAGTTTTCAGTATGTAAACCTTTTGTCTCTTTGGTTAGGTATTCAACTCTTTTTGATGCTATTGTAAATAGAATTGTTTTCTTAATCAAGGCAGATGGTTTTGCCATCCACGATGGTTCTTACCTCTCTATTCCATGTTCCCTTTCTGAAAGGCCGGCTGATACTAATTAGGATGAGGGTGGAGGCCACCCAGAGGGTCACCTTCGCCCTGGGAAGTGAATACAATTCTGAACCTGCAGAACGAAGGAATAAGGGCTGGTTTAGAGTCCATCTGAGGTTGTTCAAGGTCTTTGAGACACACAGACATATTATTTAATATGCTTTATCGAGAGCACAAAGACAAATAACTTTCTTCCAAATCCTACTTCAAGCAAAGGGAAGAGAAATATAGCAGCTGTCGGGAGGCTATTCAACTTTTAAAGTTTGACTCCAGCAAAAATTGTAAGAGGCAAACAGTATATCCTTAGCTGTGTCATCTCCTCACCCCAATTCAGCTTTGATCTTTCTCTTCTTTTATACTGTTTCCCTGTTATCCTGTCATCACCCTACCTCACTCCTTTTTCCAAAGTTCCCTTTCCTCTGCTTCCTTAACAAATGTACCTATCCCATTGTCATTTCCTCAGGTTTTTTGCTGGGCAACAGTAAACTCTTCCTGAAAAATTAACTCTTGCAAAGCAAGAACAGGTGAAGTCTTTGCAATTTAACAAGGTGACAGTGTCTTCATCTGAGCAAGGTGAATGAGTTAGTCTAATTCTGGTGACTTCAGGAACCCACAGACTGGGAGGGAAAATGATTTGGGATTTTGCCTAGACCTAGTCTGATCTGTTAGTGGGCGGAAGCGGGAGGGGACAGAGAAGCCAGGGACAGATGACTGGGAAGCATGATGTTATGCTGCTCTTTGAGGCAAAGGAGCTTCACTACTAGAGGTGCCTCAGAGTCAAACTCAGTCTTGCCTTAAGTGGCTTGTCACAAGGTCTCAAGGAGCCTAGAGCTGTAATTGAAATTGATATTGTCTCTCAGTGACCCATTTCTAACCTTAGAGCTTCCTACAGACTTGGTCTTGGGAAGGGTTTACCCCTAGACTGTGTGGTTGCAGGAACCTGTGGGCATTCCAGAGGGAGTCTGTTAACTCAGCTTCAGAAATGAGGAAGATTATAAGTCAATGCAGGCTGAAAACCAGAGGACCCCAAACTGCATGGACTGGCTGATCACTAGCATGTGGGCTAACGTAAAGTGGAAAGCCTGCAGGCAATGGTGGCAGGCCATGCCTGCGGACCTCTGTTACATACCACCTGCCTGACCACTGTGTGTGGGGAGGTAACAGCCCCCATGTCCAGACCCCGTAGCAGCTCTCTTCCGCTCTGGTGAGCACCGAAGGCCAGGGCTGCACCGTCCTGGGCTGCGCAGTGGGAGGTGGGGCTTGGCAGTGAGCTGGACCGGGGATTCTGCTTTGTGTCCGGCTGCCCCGCAGAGATGTCTGCACCATGAATTTGATACAAAGTCCACAAACATTTCACTGCAAAAGGCACATTTTATCTCCCTTTGCAGAACCTCCAAGAGAGCCAAGCTTGGTGGCTTGCCAGACAGGCTCTACTCCTTATGTCTGATCTAGGGTACATGCTGGTGTTTGCCATCTTCCTATCGAACCCACATCCAGAGCTTTGGATGTGAGATGAAGGGGATGGTAGCTGGGGGAGGCTAGAGGAGAAAGACAATGCAAACAATACCTCAGGCAATGGGCTAAGCACACAAACCGATTTAGGTGGACCAGAGGAGAAAAGAAAAAAGCCCCAACAAACCAAAAACAAAGCAATACTTCTTTCCTACTTCCTTCCTTCCCATGCGTCTCATTTGTGTTGGTGGAAACTACAGATTGATTACTGTTTTGGGGCCTCTGATTAAAAACTCACATGTGTAAGAGACTCAGCTTCGAGATTAGGAGCTTCTTTGTTGAACCGAGGCAATCTCATGTTATTAAACCTTCCCTCTCAACTTGCCACCTGCTCCTCTCCTTCCCTAGCCCTAAGACCCTGAACCCATCTCCCCTTTTATCTTTGTTGCCTGTTAATTCCTGTTTCCTCAGGTGGAGGGCTTGTTCTGGAAATTAAGGTTTTGGGGACAGGGTTCCTCACCTTCCTCTCTTTGGGTATAGGAGGGCAGTCCTAAGATTTCCATAATCACAGCTTTTCCTGTGCCTCCTGCACTTAACGACTGCTACCGTACATCTGACTTCTTAAATTCATGGCCTGGAACTGCAAGGATATTTGCTAGTGTGTATGTTTTGTCTGCAACTAGATTGTCAGATTGGGTGAAATGGGCTCTGTATTAGTCTGTTCTTGCACTGCTATAAAGAAATACCTGAAACTGGGTAATTTATAAAGAAAAGAGGTTTAATTGGCTCATGGTTCCAGAGGTTGTACAGGCAGCATGGCTGGGGAGACCTCAGGAAACTTTCAATCATGGCAGAAGGGGAAGGGGAAGCAGGCACGTCTTCTACGGCCAGAGCAGGAGGAAGAGAGACAAGGGGGAGATGCTACACCCTTAAACAACCGGACCTTGTGAGAACTCTCACTCTCACAAGAACAGCAAAGGGGAAATCCACTCCCATGATCCAGTCACCTCCCACCAGGCCCCTCCTCCAACACTGGGGATTACAATTCGACATGAGATTTGGGTGGAGACACAGAGCCAAACCATATCAGACTCCAAGGCCAATTTTAAGTGGCTCCAGGATTCTCAAATTCTAAGTGTTTTAAGTGCTCAGACAGAGGCATAGCAGGCCTTCAATACGTTTTCACGATTTTCACTTTCTAGGAGCCTTCAGAGTGACTGTCTAAGGAGTTTTCTGGTCAAGCGCCGGGGTAGGCATTGGCATTCTTCTCCAGATGAAAGTCAAGAGGCAGACAACACAGTGACCAATGCCTCATCCAAACTCCTGAGGCAGAGGAGAGTCCAACTGCCACTTCCTAACAATGTGAAGCCATGATACGAGGCCTAATAAACTTTCCCTGCAGTTTCAAGAGGATGTGGTCTCTTTCACTTCCTGTCCCAAACTGTTCTGCACTGTTGCGCCATGCAACAGCTGCTTCGGATCAAGCCACGGCCAAATTCTTGCTGGGGAAGAGCAGTGACATTTGGGGAACCACAGGGACAACAGGGAGCCACTTCTGTGGGTGCTGGAGACTCCACTCATAGGACGTCTGGACACTGATGTCTAAAGCCTAAAGGAGGACATTAAAATGTTAGATCGGGGAGGGGACAGATCCACCATTGTAATTTCAAAGGTGAAACTCGGATGTCCTGGAAGGAGGGTAGACAGACCTGCTTGTGACCTGCTAATCCACTATCACAAACTGTGCATGCTTTCTTATCATTTTACTTCTTTCATAAATAGAGGACAGGAACAAAAAGCCAAAAGGTTACATGAAGGAGCAGGTGAGAAATCTCTAGCTAGTTCCCATGGTACTGTGGAGCTAGTACCGCATCATACTGTTCATCATACTTTGCTTGTGTTGTGGAGAAAACTCAAGCATAGACAAGGTGTCACTGGCCTCGCTGTAAAATAACAGGCTGTTAATGAAGCAGCCGAGGGATATGGAGATGGTGTCTTCATCCCTGTGCTCACCTTTTCCCGAATGTACCTTTTTCCCTTTAATTTCCCTAAATGAGATGTGCCATAGAATGTACCTAATTTGTGTCAGGTCTATACAATGAGAAAATCATAATACATCCATGAATCAGGGTTCAGTTAATTTATTTCCTAAACATCTACATTTTGAACTAATTTCAGATCTACAGAACAGATGGAGTCTCGCTCTGTCATCCAGGATGGAGTGCAGCAGCATGATCTCTGTTCACTGCAACCTCCGCCTCCCAGGTTCAAGTGATTCTCCTGTCTCAGCCTCCTGAGTAGCTGGGATTACAGGCACCTTCCCTCACACCTGGCTAATTTTTGTATTTTTAGTAGAGCCAGGGTTTCATCGTGTTGGCCAGGCTGGTCTCGAACTCCTGACCTCAGGTGATCCACCCACCTCGGCCTTCCAAAGTGCTGGGATTACAGGTGTGAGCCACTATGCCTGGTCAGGGTCATGTTTTATATCAAAGATTTAAAGCACTTCTCAGTGTTTTATATAGAAGACTTATAATGTCAGTTTGTCTCATTATAGAGGATAGATTTTGATCACTTTATTCGTCTACCAGGTTTCTATATTGTAAAATTATTATTTTTCCCTTTGCAATTAATAAGTACAATGTGGGGAGATAATTCCAGACTATACAAGTATTCTGTTTCTCAACAAACTATTATCCATTATTTTTAGCATCCATTTATATTTTGTTGTTGTTGTTATTGTTGCCCAGACTGGAATTCAGTGGTGTGAACGTGGCTCACTGTAGCTCACTGTAGCCTTGAACTCAAGTTACAAGAGGATCCTCTCACCTCGGCCTCTTGAGTAACAGACTACAGGTGTGCACGATGCCTAACTAATTTTTAAATTTTTTTTTTTTTTGTAGAGATGGGGTCTCACTTTGTTGTCCAGGCTGGTCTTAAGTTCGTGGGCTCAAGTGATCCTCCTACCTTGGCCTCCCAAACCTTTGGGATTACAGGTGTGAGCCACCATGCTGGGCCCTGGCTTGATGATTCTTGAATGAGTTAATCATTATCACAGTAATAATCAAATGCTTGTTTTTCTAATTTTATTATTCACATTTATCAGCTGGCATTTCCTGTTAGCATGAACTTTCTCCTTTCCCTTATTTATTTCTTTCTTTATTTATATCAGCATGGACTCAGAGAATCTTTTTTCACTCAGTGGCTTATTATTCATTACTATTGTTATTTATTTTGATGTTTAAATTGTCCTAGATTTGGCTGATGGGAGTCCCTTCCAACTGGCTTTTGTGTGCTTTTATAAATCAGGTGTATTTTGGTATAATTTACATACAGAAAAATCCATCCCTTTCAAGAGAATAGTTGGATAAATGTTGACAAACATACAGCTGTGTGAGCACCACCACTGTCAAGGTATGGAACATTTTATCACTCCAGAAAGTTCTTTTTTTTTTTTTTTTTTGAGACAGTCTCACTCTGTTGCCCAGGCAGGAGTGCGGTGATGTGATTTTGGCTCACTGCAACCTCTACCTCCCAGGTTCAAGCAGCTCTCCTGCCCCAGCCTCCTAAGTACCTGGGATTACAGGCATGTGCCACCACAGCTAGGTAATTTTTGTATTTTTAGTAGAGAGGGGGTTTCACCATGTTGGTCAGGCTGGTCTCAAACTCCTGACCTCAAGTGATTCACCCACCTCGGTCTCCCAAAGTGCTGGGATTACAGGCGTGAGCCACCGCACCCAGCCCCAGAAAGTTATTTTATACTGAGCTCATAGTCAGTCTCCTACTCCCAGTTCCTGGC